>NC_000013.11:81923440-82076281 GCF_000001405.40 Homo sapiens | reverse complement strand
ACCAGAAATGAGATTGTTTTTTTCACGAGTTTAAATGATGTTTTAGTCTCTCCCATGCTCAATTTTCTTTGAAGAAAATTTTGTAAAATGTGTTTATTTTTCTAATTGACAAATTGAAATTGTATATATTGATATTGTACAACATGATGTTTTGAAACATGTATTCTTAGTGGGCTGGCTGAATTGAACTAATTAACATAAGCATTATCACACATACTTATCTTTTTTGTGATGAGAACACTTAAAATCTACTGTATTATTTAGTTTCAAGAATACATTGTTATTAACTATAGCCATCAGGTGGCACAATAGGTCTCTTGTACTTATGTTTCCTATATAACAGAAATTTTGTATCCTTTGACAAACATCTCCCAGTCTCAGACCCACCTCCACTCCCAGCCCTTGGTAGCCACCATTCCACTCTCTACTTCTAAGAGTTCAAATTTGATTCCACATATAAGTCTCACATGCCCAATTTTGGAGAACAAAGAATTTAGAAGACATAAAAGATGACCCTAATACTGGGCCCATGCTCAAAATGTTTAGGAGTCAACCCAATCCTGAGCTCCTTGAACAATTATTCCAATTAATATTTTGCCTGGAAAAAATACTGAATTTAGATTATTCTAGTCCAAACTATTTGACATACAGCATGGATACACTGGACAAAGAGATGCTCAGGATGGAATAGGCTGGCATGAGATTTCATCACATTATTTAGAATGACATGCAATTTAAAACTTATAAATTGTTTATTTCTGGAATTGTCCATTTAGTATTTCAGAGAGCAGTTAACTGTCAGTAACTGAAATCTTGCAAAGCGATGTAGGGGACTACTGTATATGGTCTCTATCACAACCATCAGCACTACTGTTGTAGCAAGAAAGTGTCCACAGAATATTTGCAAAATAATTAGTATGTCTGGATTTGGCCAAAAAATATGTTTTCTGACACTCTTCTAGGTGATGTGTGTCCAGTGGTTCGGGAATGATCCTAAATGTTAAATAGGAAAAGGAGAAAGTCAGAAATCTCACAAGATTATAGGGCTACAAAATCAATCAGCCTTGCTACGGGAGTAAATTTAATGGCATTATCTTCTCATTTAGCCTGTTGTTTCAGATAGTTTCATCACTGCCAACTTAAGAGATTGAAGTATAGGATAATAATTAATGAATCAGATTAAGAATTATGGGTCAGATACCCTTGCTCAGGCCTGTAATTCCAACACTTTGGAAGGCCAAAACAGGTGGGCTGTTTGAGGCCAGGAGTTCAAGACCAGCCCAGGCAACATAACAAGGCCCTTCTCTACACTACAGGAAAGAGAAAACTAAAACGTCTAGTAGAGAACCTTGGTGGTTGATAGCTACATGGAACTGACAAGAAATGCACAGATCACTAGATACCTGGTAATTTTTTACTAAATTGTATTTTTATAGAAACACCTAAGTAACAAAATAAAAGAAAACCAAACAAACAAATACAAATCTCTTGGGGTTAAAACAACTTACAGATTTTCAAACCTGCACCAGCAATAGGTGGGAACCTTCTATAACACTTAACACAGATATAGCCATGGAGATTAATAGACAAGAAGGAACTTTTTGAAGGTCAAAGCCAGGATATGAGAACAATTAGTGAAAAACCCCTCCTAGGGAGCAAAATCAGGATCTAATCAAAGAATTTCAATCTAGCACTCCAAGTTGTAATGGACCAGTAGCTTCTCAGTGTCTTTCATTCTATTTTTCCAGATGGGAGGGGTTTTTCTTGTTGTTGTTGTTTGTTTGTTTGTTTGTGTGATTGATTTTTGGCCACTATTACTCTATTACACATGGCTATGCATCAAAGTGAGATTTACAATGGTCAATTACAGGTTTGTTCAGGTCACAGGTCACAAGACCAAAGAAAGTTACATCCATATAACATGGAAAAGTCTGCAAATCACTCACTTTTCCTGGACTTTGAGTTAGAGGCAGGAAGTAGACAGGACTTTGAGTTGTCTTCTTCATGGGAGTGGGGAGTGTATTTATTTCATGGTTGAAAGGCGAATTAAAATCTTTGTGACCATGAGGAGACACATGAAAAGACAAATCCAGAGACTTTTATGGGCACATGAAAAATTTCATTTTCCCATGCACAGAGATTCTTAAACTTCCTGGTCACTAGATATGGTTATATGACTCAGTTCCAACCAATATAATGTAAGTAGAAACATTACGGTCACCCCTAAGACTATTCCCTATAATAAAACCCTCCTACAAGTTTCTTCACACTCTCTCTCCCTGCCACAAAATGTAGAGTATTCTACAGAGGACATTGAGACTCTTGGGGATGGTGTACCATAGATGGAAGAAGCCTAGACCCTTGAATCTACATAGAAAAGGAGACCCAGCAAATATCATTATCAAATGGTTTAAAATGAGATAAACAATTTTCTTTTCTGTTAAGTATTTGAGATATTCTGAGTCTTTTATTTTGACAATTTGTCTGTTCTAAATAACAAGCTGCTTGCTCTTTCAGAGAGTAACATCTAAAGCATATTTTTCAAAGTTAAGAATGTAGGCTAATTTGAGGTAGCTTTCTTGATTATGCAGCTATTTAATTTTCATGTCCCTGTTTCCCAGACTGAAATGTGGAACTGTTTGTGTGATCTGTCTTACGGCATAGTTCCTGAGTATCTTTGGGATAGACATTTTTGATCCTTTTTTTCCCACAATATTTGTTGCCAGTTTCTTTTCTGTAGAATTTTTGTTTTTAGAAACTGTCTTCTTTCCTCTCTCATTTTTGACACATGTGGAGCACCGAGTGAGCAGGAAGGATACCGATACCTTTCTCCAGATGCACATTTTAGGCTCCAGCAACTTCTAGACTGCGTGCATCTTTCAAAGGTCTCACTTTCACTAAAAAAGCACAAGGCCTATTTGCTCTCTAAGCGTTGCTGACCCTCTTGCCTAGACAGTATTCAATGATATGAAAAATTTCTTTCACTGTAATCATAAAATATAAACTTTAAAAATCAAATGGCTGTCTTTGAATAAGTACAATCATCATTTTTGTTCACATTTTTATTTGGCTAACAACTAATAAGGTTTTCCTGCAAGATTTAAATCACAACAATAATATATCCTGACTTTCCTTATCTTATATGTCTATGCCCATTTATTCAATGAAACATACTTTGAACTTTTTGCCATTCCTCAAATATGTTATGTCCTTCTATGTCTTTGAAATTTCTTTTTTCTAAATGAGGGTGGTATTGTTAAATTAGCTGAGCAACATTAAGCATTCTTGATATTGCAGTATTATACATTCATGATGATCTAGTTCAAACTTTACCAATTTTTCATCTTTTTTAACTACGGTCCAAGAAATTCTTGTTTATAAATCTTTTATTGTATTAATGTTATTCCTGTGGATTTGATTTGGATTCCTACGGAACTAGACAGTCTCTTAAACTGGCAAGTTTTAGAGTAGGAGTGAAAGCTCATTAAAAATCTTTAGAGCAGAAATGAAAGGAAGTAAAATGTACTTGTAGGAAACTTGAGAGATCAAGTGCACCGTTTGACCTTGACTTAGGGTTTTATACCTTGGCACACTTCCAAGGCCTTGCATCCCTTCTCCCCTGATTCTTCCATTGCAGTGGGCTGTCCACATGTGCCCTGGCCTGCCAGCACTTGGGAAGGGCCACATGTGCAGTGTGTTACTGAAATTTTGCACATGCTCACTTGAGGCACTTTTCCCATATGTTCCTAGAGGAAGATAATATACAAGTTCAACTCCACCATTCTGCCTCTTACTGTGAATGCTGGAGCGCACTCGCCCAACTCTTGAGATCCTATCGGGAAACTAATAAACAATTTTAATTTTTTCCATCTATTGGGAGACTGCCTTTCTCTGGCGCCAGCTGCGAACAATTACTGTTTTAGAGAGACACCTTAACAACTGCCTGACTATCACGTGATGGTCTTCTGACATTCCTGGTGGGGAGGGCTCTCTCCTGTCCTGCTCATGTTTGACTATCTACCTACTGTAACAAAATTAAAATACCTGGGAGGGGAGCAAAGGAATAGTCAGGGCCATAAAAAATTATATTATTGCCACGTTGACATGTTTTCAATAGTCATATATTTGTAGTGTATGTGTGTGTGTGTGTGTGCACTCATGATATGGAGAAGGAACGTAATTGAATTTCACCAAGATTGAAACATTTCTAAGGGAGTGGACAAAAAAGGAGAAAAAATATATTATTGAATGATCAGATATTTTAGTATGAAAGTAAGAAGGAAAGTGAACATATTGGATAAGGAATAGGGAACTAGTAAGTGATATAACATAATTGCAGGAGCAATAGCTAGCAATCCCCAGTGAAGTCAGAACAACGATGAGACTCAGAGTAATAGGATGTGTTTAGAGAATGGAGTTCAGAGAATATGATCCTTGAAACTGGGATGATATATGTATTAAATTTGAAATTATTGGTAATGGCAAGACGATGATACGGAAATTGAATTGCTGAGGAAGGGAGAAAAACAAGCATTTCGGAAAAACAAATGACAATCTATTGAGAGTATATGGTATTAACAGAAGTAGCATAACACTGGAATCCCCAAGAATTCTGACAGAAGCACAATTTAAGATAGTCACAATGAACCACTGTTTTACACAGTAAAACCCAGTGGATCCGAACAATTGCATATTACTGCAAAAAGGAGAGGTTTTGAGTTAAATTTTATGTCACTTGGATGACATAAAATTTTAAAATTTATGTTTTTAGAGACAGGGAAAGGAGACTAATTTAGAAATGGCACACAGGAATTATGGAAAAATCTAAGCTGCTTCCAGACTTAGTATGAGGTTGGTACACAGGAGGCAGTATCCTTTGAGAAGGACCTAGCTTCAGCTAGTTCAAGGCAAAGACATAAATTCTTACACAACAGGTTGGATATATAGGTGGCTCATGCTCTGATAGAATGTGGGATTCAGAAGGCATAAGATAAGCATGCTAGGAGTTTGAGAGGTGTTGGAATTTAGATGAGAACAAATGATATGCAGAAATATATATAGTGATTAACATGTAAGCATTGGGGGTTTACTTGTGTAGATTTCTGGTATATGATGGTGACTCTCATAAATGGAGTAAAGGTAAAATGTAAAATGTAATTATTCTTACACCAGAATTTGGCAAGGCTTTGAACACTGCTGGATATATTTAATGTGGTTTACTCTCCATAAGCTGACTGGGTTATCGACCTTCACTTCTCTAGTTTATGTTATTATAGAGACTAGGCAGAGGACAGTTTTGCTTTGGACCCATACTTCTGATTTAATCACTTCAACTAGTTCAAGGCAGAGAAAGAAACTTTACACAACAGTCTGGAAATATAGGAGACTCTTGCTCTGATGAAACGCGTGGTGGTGGTGACATATGTCTGTAATATATCACTAAATTTGCATGTCACTGATAATTTTTAATTTGGTGTATTCTTACCTTTCAGATGAAGAAATTCTTTTGGAAGCCTTTTTTGCTTTTTAATGATTTTTTACTGCTTAATATTTATCAATGCATTTGTATTCATACATGTATACAAGAGTTGAACAATTAAGTAAATAGATGGCAGATGGTGAGAGCCAGGTTTTTCACAGTTGGAGTGAAATGTTACAGGTAAGCAAGGGTAGGAGGTTAGAATAAAACATATGGTCACAGAATCGAGTTGGAGCCATCATTATGAATTCATTTTCAGCTCAATATACACAGAGATACCCATATCTAGGAATATGTATAATTATGTTTATGCAGAGGTTAGTATACATGCATATAATTCCTTACACTCTCAGTAGACAGCAGCTAGAAGCAAGAAACTCCAGTACAATGAGCATACCTAGCACCCATATCTTGATTTCTAATGCCATTCTCCAGGAAAATAAACCAATGTTCCCTGGAAAAATGTCTGATTCTAAGACTGGGATAAGGAACATTCATAATAAACCTGGACTGTCTTGTCACTCCAGCAAGTCATTTAGTGCTAAAACAAGCCCTGTGTTGATGGAAGCAGGTAAAATGATGCAGGAGTCAACTGAAAGAGCTTCCAATCTTTAAAGCTGAAACAATTTTGATCTACAAAATAATAAACCAGAATTCAATCATAACCCAAATATTATATATATATGCTTTTCCCCCAAGGTTGTAGATCAGATATCTTTAGCATGCCTCACCCCACTAAAAATAGAAAGATCCTGCATAAATATCAACTCTGTGCCCTTTAATTGGAGAAGAAAATGGGTTTCACCAGAATTGTGAAGGATACCAGATACCCAGGAAGACAAAACAGTCCCCATGATGGCGTCCAGCTGATAAAAATGAGTTAAGCCCCGGTACAGTCCCTGAGTGAGGCAGAGAGCCTCCCTCTATGACTCACATTTTCATTGGCCAACAGATAGCATTTTGTTTCTCCCAAGACCTGGAGCTAACTTGGGGAGAGACTTGAAGGTGCTGAGAGGGAAGGACACCAAGAAAAGCTGTGGTCATTTTCCCATACCTGGGACTGAGAGCAAGATGTCATTTTTAATCTGTGTACATACAAGTTCTGTCACTTTTTGGCAACCCAGCAGCATGGCTGTGAAGGCATTTTAGTCTCAGGCCAAAGATTGGAGCACTTGCTTTGCAATGCAGTTGGTACCTCCATAGCAGAACTGTTGAAATTGCCTCAGCAGTAGGTACTGGAATTGTGCTCTCCCCAATCACAGGCCTGAGAACATCAGAGAGCTGCTACAGCTGTGATTTCTCCCAGGTTGGGAGATTTATACCTAGGGCCAGCTTGGTGACCTGGAACTGGTCTCTGTGTGTCATTGCTGCATGCCCTAGCCTGCTCCCTCAAGATTGCAATCCACTGAGGCCCTCTCCACTCCACATCAAGGCAGATATCTAAGCACTCAGAGCGCACACTTGCTTGGACCAGCAGTCTGAGCTGCCCCACCCTTCCTGGGCATAGATAGTGGTGCACAGGGATCCTCTCTCCTCCACCCTCAGGTAGATCTCCACTCATTGAAAGCTCTAGTTTGCCTAGATTGTCAGCCTAAGCCTCTCTACCCTTTCTATGCAAAGATCTTGGTGCTTGGGGTCAGGGGTGTCTCCACTTCATGCCCAGGCAGATCTTCAGGTATTCGTAGCACCTGCTTGCCTGGTTCAGAAGCCTGAGCCACTCTGCTCTTCCTGGGCATAGATATTTTGGTGGGGCCTACTTTACTCTATGCCCAGGTAGAGCTCCAGGCATTCAGAGCACCTAGTTACCTGTATCAGCAGCCTGTGCCGTGACACCTTTCCTGTGCATAGATCACAGTGTAGCAGGACCCCCTCTGCTCTACATCCAGGCAACTCTCCAGACATTCAAAGCACCTGCTCACCCAGATTGCAACCTGAGCTCCCCTGCCCTTTCTGTACAAAGATCCTGGTGTAGGGGGTCAACAAAATAAGCAATGGAGAAAGGACTTCCTATTCAATAAAGAGTGCTGTAATAGTTAGCTAGCCATATGCAGAAGAATGAAACCAGTTCCCTACCTTTATCTCACACACACACACACACACACACACACACACACGGAGTCAGAATAAATAACACATAATTACAAAAAGCTAGAGTAAATGGGGAATATTTTAATATTCAATAAGCAATAGCAGTATGGATAGCTACCCAAAAATCCATTTATATCTATAAATTATACCTAATAGCAATGTCAATTCTAGCTAGATAGAAGTTTAATATAAAAGTAGTCACTAAACAATCAAAACATTTATGAACATTGTTTAACTTTTTTTACTTTCATATTTCTTTTTTTAACTTTTATTTTAGGTTCTGAGGTATGTGTGAAGGTTTGTTACACAGGTAAACCCATGTCACAGGGGTTCGTTGTACAGATCATTTCATCACCCAGGAATGAAGCTCAGTACCCGATGGATATTTTTGCTGCTCCTCTCCGCCCTCCCGCCCTCCATCTTCAAGTGGACCCCAGTGTCTGTTGTTTCCTTCTTTGTTAAACTGTTAAAGTGTAATGTTTTCATACTCTTGTGTGAAATAGATACATACATATATGTGTATTTGCAGCAGTCCCCTCTTCTCCATGTTTTTGCTTTGCACGGTTTCAGTTACCCATGCTCAGCCACGGTCTGAAGATATTAAGATATTTTCTGAGAAAAATAGCGAGAGAGAAAGAAATCACATTAAAATAACTTTTATTACGGTATATTTTTATAATTGTTCTATTTTTAGTTTTTTAAAATAACTTACTGTGCCTAATTTATAAATTTAATTTATCATAGGTATGTATATGTAAGAAGAAATATAGAATGTGTAGAGTTGATGCTCTCTGTGGTTTTAGGGATACACTGGGTGTCTTGGAGATGGGTGACTATTGAATATACATATATACATAACAGTTATATTTACATACATACACACATATAAATAAACATAAATATATATAATATATCCAACTATTTATGTACACGTATAAATGATTACATATTTAAATGCATATATGTTTATAAATATGTAACTGTTTTTCAATACTTCAAACATGTTTCTACTTTGAGCCACTTTTGGGCTAGGTTTATTGAGTCAAATTTAATTAAGTCATTTTTTTTTTTTTTCCTACTGAATTCAAGGAAAACCTAATCAAATTAGTGCTCTCACTCTCCCCATTTCTCATTTGGTTAATAGTGAGTTCCAGTAGCTTATGTTTATTATAGAATTGGAAAAAAAAATTTAAGTCTTGTGAGTCACCTAAGTAACTGATTTTCTAAGGGATGTATATTGTTCATTCTACTTTCGTCCAATTCTCCACTAAACTTATCTTATCCCTTCTATTCTGGCCTATCTGGAAACATCTCATTCTACTTTTGTCCAATTCTCCACTAAACTTATCTCATCCCTTCTATTCTGGCCTGTCTGGAAACATCTCCATTTTTTTCTGATCTCCAGTAGTTTGGTCTATGATAATAATCCAATTATTATTAATAATCCAGTTGACATGATCAAAAGACAACCTCAGGTCACACACCTATCAATCAAGACTGCTTTGCTTTCAACTGCACAGAAAAAGTATATATGACTGCTTTGCATGTCCAGTCAGATAATGAAGGCACACTGTCAGACTGTCTCAGCACATATATCTAAGGCACTCAATACTTCTATTTATGCTCTGCTGTATTATTCCATGACATTGTGGAAAATTCTGGTTGGATATTTTCTCATTCAAAACTTAGATAATAGTGTAGACACAGTTTTCCACTACTTTTGGTCCCCGAGTTAAGAATGTCTTGGAACCTGAGGCCAGGAGTTCAAGACCAGCCTGGCCAACATGATGAAACCCCTTCTCTACCAAAAATACAAAAGTTAGCCAGGCATGGTGGTGCCTGCCTATAATCCCAGCTTCTTGGGAGACTGTGGCACAAGAATTTATTGAACCTGGGAAGCAGAGGTTGCAGTGAGTCAAGATAATGCCACTGCACTCCAGCCTGGGTGACATGGCGAGAATCTATCTAAAAAAATTTTTTTTTGCAAACACAATATAAAAAAGATAACCAGTATAGGGTTTAGTGGCATATTCACCCTCATTCATGTTGGAAGTGAGTAAGTAAACACCTTAAAATGTTTCTATCATCAATTTAATCTTAGCCTACAAGGAAATAACAATAAATTGTGGTAAATTCACATAAAATTTTGGTAGAATGTAAAGAACATCAATTTTGATAATTAAATATTTTCTATTTAAAGCAAGATTAATCCAACTAGCATATTTTCATATAGAAAGATATTGCAAGCTAAAGAATGCTTATGAACATGTTAAATGACATGGGCCAGGTATGGTGCCTCATGCCTGTAATCCCAGCACTTTGAGAGGCGAAGGAAAGAGGATAGATTGAGCCCAGGAGTGAAAAACCAGTCTGGGCAACACTGTGAGACCATGTCTCTACAAAAAATATAATAATTAGCTGGGCATGATGGCAGTGCCTGTAGTCTCAGCTACTCAGAAGGCTGAAATGAGAGGATTGCTTGAGTCCAGGAGTTCGAGGCTACAGAGAGTTATGATTGTGTCACTGCACTCTAACCTGGGTGACAGAGTGAAACCCTGTCTCAAAAATAAAATATGAAGTAGTGGGCATCTTGGCATGCTTAATGCAGGTGCAGATATAGCCATTTGAATATAAATGTGCACACAGACATAGACAAAATATCGAAATAATGTGTGCAATACAATGAAATGTTCACAGTGATAGTGTCTTCATGAGAATATTGGTAGCATTCCATTCTTCATTCAGATAAAGTGATAACTTTTAAATATTCATATAATAAAGAATATCTCTTTCATTTATTCCTTCTCTCCTCCATAAATCTAACCGTAAATGAGTTAGATATTTATTTTTGATTTTTTTTGCCTTTGGTTAGGTTTTTAAACTCTTGTCCATAAATGACACCATCATTTTCATTCTTCAAATTATGTTTTTCTACATATAAAATGTAAGTCTAAGTTCAGGAGAAAAATGTCTGTGTGGAAATACACATTTGAAAGTCATTGGCCTCCATGACTTTTCTTTTTGTCTTCCAAAACCTATGCAATCTGTCAGAAAATCATGCTGCCTCAATTTCCAAAGTATACTCAGAACCATATGATCACATGCATTTCTGCATTCCTAGTTCAATTCAGAAGCAGCTTATCACCCATTTACTGTTCTTGCTCCTATGAAAGCATTCCCAATACAACAGCCAGAGTTCATCAGATAGATAGGTAGATAGATACATAGATTCACTGATAGATAGAAAGATACATACATGCATGCATTCATATATACATATGTACATATATCGGCAAAGGTCTCTATAGTTTCATTCAAAACTCTAATCCCTTACATTTCCCTAACTCACACAGTATGAAAGCTAGAGGTCCTCATTAAAATACTGATAACATTGGGCAAAGTCACTCTGTTATGTAGCCAACAGGTATTATACCTTGATTCTTGGATAGTGGCTGCAGCTTCTATTTTTCCTCTCCAAACCTAGGATAGAAGAGCTCTTATTTTTGTTTCTTTAAAACATATCATGCTTAATTTTTTAACAACTTTTCAAAGTACATGCATAATACAAAGAAATTGCATTTGAAAGTTTAACTTAAAAATTTCAATATATTTTGCAATTTTTAGTATCTACAATCAATCAATCATATTTGAGTTTTTACATGCCCTGTGTTGTTCAAAATGGGAATAAACCTAAGTGTCATAGGTTCTGTTCTTTGTTTATTCCCTCTGCATTTTTCTTCTGAATGTCTTTCAACTCACTTCCTATTTGCCTCTTTGCCTTACTCAATATATGTGTCTTCTCCATTAAGCCCTATTAATATAGAAATCAGTATCTCCTCTCCAAGCCCTCCACAAAGTTACATTCTGAGCACCCTCTCGTATGTTCCTCATATAAACTTTGATTCTGCCACACCAAATCAAAATTTGTAAATCCTCAGGCCTGGTCGTATTTATTTACTGGAAACTATGAAACAGAGAAACATGAGGCATGTAGCATGTTTAACTGTATGGCAACTATCAAATGCCATTAATTGGTGAAATAAGTGAGAGCAGGACATCTACGATTACTGCTGCTTTTTGTGTTGCCCAATTTGGGGGCAACATTTTGTTGGGCAACATTCTTTTATATGTTGCTCATGTTCTGTCAGGCCACCTTACAAAATTAAGAGGACTTTTTAAACTATCAGCAAAGATGTACTATAGGAAGCTTCGTTTATCATTATTCAGTTCTAAAATAAAATAGACAAAGCAGGCTTGTGTGTAACAAAGTCAACATTGGCTCTAGATGCAAATTGAACCCAAAGTGCTCTTTCTTTGGAAACTACAAAATTAAGGTAAATGTGGAACTCCATGTCCAGAAATCATTTATCCAAATCTCTTCATCAGGGCTTTAAATTGAGATGTCTCTCTGTGTCAAGCTGACTTAGATCCTGCAGGTAATAATGATATACATTTTACCAATACAATATCAAATAACAAAGATTGTAATAATCTATGAGTTTAGAAAACAAATATTTTCATTGAGAAATAAAGCAACAGTCTCCCTCAAAAAACAGCATTTTTTATGGTACTTCACAGCTGCAGCACAGCCCAGGAAAAATATAATTTTCTGTTAGCCTTTCAGCTGGCTTTATTCGTTTCAATTATTGGTGGTTTGTTGAATCACTGGACATGTTTTTATTTCTTCATTGGGGTTAATCTTTACTTCCTTACTTCTACATGACTAAATTTCAATTTTTTAGTCATTATGCTCACTAACACATCTTTGTTCTTAAAATAGCTTTTCTTAAGATTAAGCAATGTACATCATCAATACTTTTTGAATTTTTATCAAACCAATATAACATAGAACAAAAATCTGTATTCAGTTGAGACTTCAAGAGGTGAAAATATTTTAGAAAATAGATCAGGGATAAAATTGGTTTATAAATTATTTAATCATAGTATCATCTGAAATAAATAAAATAGAACTTACTGAAATGAAATGACTACACTTAAAATTTAAAATTACTTGTTTCTTTTTGTTGCTATTGTTTTTAATTTAAACCTTTTTCAGCTGATGCTCTGAACCTCCTAATGACAAAGGATATACCAGATACATAAATAATTCTATACAAATCTTAACCCAGTATACTTAAAAAAATACATTAGAAACATTAAAATATCCAGGCCATCTACCTGGAATGATTAAAGGTAAAAGAGTCATTCTCTTTTCAAGTTTATATTACCACTTAAATTTATTCCATGTAATAATACAAACAGAATGAAATACAATAATGGGAAATACAGGTTGAGTATCTCTAATCTGAACATCTGAAATCTAAAAAGCTACAAAATCTGAAACTTTTTGAGTTCTGATATGATGCTCAAAGGAAATGGTCATTGGAACATTTTGGATTTCAGATGTTTGGATTAAGGATGCTCAAATGGCAAATATAATGCAAATATTAAGAAATCCAAAAATATTCAAAATTGGAAAGACTTTTGGTCCCAAGCATTTTGGATAAGGAATAATTACTAGAAAAAGTGAAAATGAATAGAGTAGCCCCCTTACCCATGGTTTCATTTTCCACAATTTCAGTTACCCAAGGTCAAACGTGGTCTGACAATATTAAATATAAAATTCCAGAAATAAAATATTCAGAAGTTTCAAATTGCAGGCCATTCTGAGTAGTGTGAGGAAATCTTGTACCTTCCTGTTCTATCGTATCTGGGATGTGAATCATCCCTTTGTCTAGGAGATCCACACTCTACCCACTCCTCACTTGTTAGTCACTTAGCAGCCGTCTCTCTGTGATCAGTTTCACTGTCACATTATCTTAGTGCTTGTGTTCAAGTATGCCTTATTTTACTTAATAGTGGCCCCAGAGTGCAAGGGTAGTATGTCGGCAATTTGGATGTGCCAAATAGAAGCCATGAAGTGCTTTCTTTAAGTGGAAAGATAAAGGTTCTTGACTTAATAAGGAATAAAAATAATTGTATGGTAAGGTTGCTAAAATCTACAGTAAGAACAAATATTCTATCTTTGAAATTGTGAAGAAGGAAAAATACATCTGTGCATAGTGTATATAGGGTCCGATACTATACGCAATTTTATATAGTATGGAAGGCTATTACATAGGATGAATTGCTGTGTATAAAACCCTGAATATATGTATAACACGTACTATGACATTGCTAATTATGCATTAATACTCTTAATCCTATTTGTTTGAGGAGAAAATTAGAGATTTAAAGTAATTAGTTCAAGTCCTCAAAAGAGAAATATTTAATTCTATGTCTATTAAGGAAAAAGCTCATAGGTTACTTACATTAGTAACATAGTCTACTGGTACTCGTATAAATAATGCATTTGTGAATCTCTGTAATTAAGAACTTGACTTTACAAAGCCAATTTCTTTTTACAACATTTCATTAGGAAATAAAATTTTGTCAACTAAGTAATTATTGTACACAGTTAGAGGATTAACATAAATTTAACTTCTTGAGATTAGGCTGATATCCCTGCTGTTTTTCCTGGGGAGGCTGTTTTCTGGGATCTAATAGCATCCAAAGTAATAGTTACACTTTAGTGTTTATTATTACTGCAAGTTCAAAATTACATATTTTTTTCATTATTGGTGAATTTTTACTTTTCTGTTTTCCTCATAAGAGTACTATATTAATATCTTAAAATAGAATTTTGAGTATATATTTAATTTAATCATGGAGTGCTTGAGGCATTTCTGAAAGCTTTCTGAACATAGTGCAAAGTGATACTTAATTGTATCAGGGAAAATTATGTTGCAACAAACCGTTAGTTTTGAGTCAAGAGTCATTATATATGCTATTAGGTGAAACCATCATCTTTCATTCCGTTTATAACCTCAATATGTCGTGTCTTCATTTTAAAATTATGTATAACTCTGTTGTGTCATACCTGTTTGAATCCTAAATTTCTTCTACAGCACTGTCCTACTTCTTTCAGTCGATACAGCCAAATTCTAAAGAAATAAAACTCATACTCCTATGAATGGTATTTCCTAGGTTACCTTCCACGGTTCTGTAAAATTTTTGGCTTTACATGTATGTATTTAATCCATTTTGAGTTAATTTTTGTATATGGTGTAAGAAAGGGGTCTAGTTTCAATCTTCGGCATATGGCTACCCAGTTATCCCAGCAAAATTAATTGAAAAGGGATTCCTTTTCCCATTGCTTGTTTTTGTTGATTTTATAAAAGATAACCTAGGAAACACCATTCCAGACATAGGAAAGACTTCATAACAAACATGCCAGAAGCAATTGCAACAAAAATGAAAAATAGCAAATGGGACCTAATAACTAAAGAGCTTCTGCACAGCAAAAGAAACTAACAGCAGAGCAAACAGACAACCTACAAAAATGTAAGAAAATATTTGCAAACTATGCATCTGACAAGTGTCTAATATCCAGAATATATAAGAAACTTAAACAAATTTACAAAGAAACAAACAACCCCATAAAAAAGCAGACAAAGAACATGAACAGACATTTCTCAAATGAAGACATACACGTCACAAAGAGGAATATGAAAAAATGCTCAACATCACTAATCATTAGAGAAATGCAAATGAAAACCACAATGAGATATCTCATATCACTCAGAATGGCTGTTATTATTAAAAAGTCAAAAACTAACAGATGCTGGCAAGGTTGTAGAGAAAAAGCAACACTTATGCACTGTTGGTGGGAATGCAAATTAGTTCAGCCATTGTGGAAAGCAGCTTGGTGACTTCACACAGAACTTAAGCCAGAATTACCATTTGACCCAGCAATTTCATTATTGGCTATATACTCAAAGGAATATAAATTATTTTACCATAAAGGCACGTGCAACAAATGTTTGTTGGAGAATTAGTCACAATAGCAAAGACATGGAGTCAACCTAAATGCCCATTAACTGTAAACTGGATAAAGAAAATGTGGTACATATACACTATGGAATACTATGCAGCCACAAAAAAAGAATGAGATCATGTCCTTGCAGCAACATAGATGAAGCTGGAAGCCACTCTCCTAAGCAAATTAGCACAGGAACAGAAAGCTAAATACTGCATGTTTTCATTTATAAGTGGGAGCTAAATATTGAGTACATATGGACACAAAGAACAAACAACAGAGACGAGGCCCTACTTGAGGGTGGAGCATGAGAGGAGAATGAAGATTGAAAAACTACCTATTGAGTACTATGCTTATTATCTGGATGATGAAATATTATGTACACCAAACTCCCATTATACACAATTTACCTATATAACAAACCATCACATGTACTCCTGAACCTAAAAGTTTTTTAAAAAAGAATACCAGACACCCAGTTAAAAAATAATAAAAATAAATAAAACACACAGTCATTAAGGAGAAACAAAAATAAATAAAATAATATCAAAATTAGCAAGAATAGTCTAATAGATCCATGTTGCCACAATTGTTCCCAATCTTTTCATTACATTTCACTACATTTTACCCAGAATAAACAAATTTTTGGAATTTTATTTCATTATTTCAAAGTACATATCCAAAAAATAATAAAAAAAAAAACTACAGTAGAACCTAAGCCATAACATCTAGTATTAATATAGTACTATTATCTTAATCAGAGTCCATATTCAAATTTCTCATTGTCTCAGTAATGCTGTTTAGTCTCCACACTGTCATCCTGATCCATTGCCTGGATCATAACCACACATTATAGCTAATTACTGTGACCCTTTATTTTCCTTTAATCTGAAACAATTTCTCAACCTTTTTGTTGCTGTTGTTTTTCAGTCCCTTGCATTTTTAAAGAGTTCAGGATCTTTATTTTGTAGAGTTTCATATTTAGGCTAGTCCATTTTTTCCTTGTGATGAGATTCAAGCTATTCATTTTCAGCAAAAGTACCACAAAGGTGGTGTTGTGCCCTTCTATGTGCTTCATGTCAGGAGGCACGAGATGCCTGCCATTCCCTTTATTGGTATCTTTACTTTGGCCACTGGATGAAGATGTTGACTGTAAAGTTTTTTCCCCCACTTTAATTTTATGATTATTTACTTTTTAACTAAACAACATATTGAAAAGAATCACCTTAAAACAAATATTCTGTTTCTCATCAAACTTGCACTGGTTAGATTTAGCATCCATTGCTGCTTTTAGCAACAAATGGATAATTATTTTATAATTATCATTATGGTTGACAAATATTGTTTTACTAACACTATGATTTCTTCAGCATTTATTATTGCTGTCTCAATATTTTTTAAAAAACTTTTCCTTACTATTACTTTATTGGTTTATTCTTAAATTTATTGATACCATGATGGACTCAGGGTTACCTATTTTATTTAGTGGATTACATTCCATTGTTATTATTTATTTTGAAGATTTCATTATACCATGTTTGGTCAGTATGTGTACCTTCAGGCTGATTCTTGTGACCTTCAACACGCCCCGTTCATGCTTAAAAACTTCCTTATTCTCTAGTATAACAAAATATTCCATGAACATCCAAGAGTTTTCCTCTTCTAGTTCTAGAATTAGCCATTATTCCAAAAAGCATGGAGAAAAATATTACTCAGACACTAATATATTTGTGCTAGGTGTGTTTACTGCCATTGGTTGTCATGTGTAAGCTCTACAGATATTTACATATACACATGTGCTATGCGTGAGAGATGTATGTTTCCCTCTCATCTCTATCCATCCACCCACCTACCTACCTTTCCATCTACTATAAGTTCATATCGATACCTCTGATTTCAGTTCAACATGATAGAAGACATTCTTTCTTTCCACCTTTCCATATTAGTAACTTTGTCCTCCAACTGTGACAAATCTGGCACCCATTAAACTAAAAATGTCTACTTGGCTACTTGTTTGCTAAATCATAGAAAATTATACATTTATTCTGAAATTTCTGAAACATATCTTTGGGAGAAAAAAACATATCATGAAATAGAATAGAGGGCAATATTAGTTTATAGTTTTTCTTTTTTTATTTTAAACTTTAGGGTATATACTGTGTTTGAATTTATTTGGGTTAACATTTTCTCCCTTTAGTGTGACCATATTATAAACACGGAATAGACATCAATTCAATTGTTTTGTTTGTAATTTGTTTTATTTTTCATTGTTGATTTATATTTTATGTAAAACATAAACATGCTTACGAAAATTAAAACTAAACAAAACTAAACTCTATTCACCCCCCCCATCCTTTCCCCCCATTTCCATCCACTCTCTGTAGGTTCCCATTCTCATAATATTTTGCATTATTATTTTTGCATTTTTAATAAAAATAATGAGATATATTTATATGTTCTTATTATATTTTTCTTACACTAACTGTACTCTACTATAAATATTTTTGAATTTACTATTTTCAATTAGCAGTGTATTCTAGATAAAACTTTATATGGGCTTATAGAGATTGTTGTCAATGATGATTTACAACTACAATGGACTTCATTGTTTTCAAGTAGCATGGTTTATTCAATCAGTTAATTATTAATGGAAGATAGGTTTTTTTCCCTAATGCTATATAGCTATAAACAATGCTCCAATGAATAACCACTGCATATAAGTTAATGTGATATTAGACTTACATTTTCGGTCATTTCCTAGAAGTGGAATTGCGGGATCAGAGGTAAAAATTTGTATTTTTTGGCCTGGCGTGGTGGCTTACGCCTGTAATCCCAGCACTTTGAGAGGCTGAGGTGGGAGGATCACGAGGTCAGGAGTTCGAGACCAGCCTGACCAACATGGTGAAACTCCATCTCTACTAAAAATACAAAAATTAGCTGGGAGTGGTGGTGCACACCTGTAGTCCCAGCTACTCAGGAGGCTGACCCAGGAGAATTGCTTGAACCTGAGAGGAGGAGGTTGCAGTGAGCCGAGATCGCACCACTGCACTCCACTCTGGGTGACAGAGCAAGACTCCATCTCAAAAAAAAAAAAAAAAATTGTATTTCTGTTAGATATTGTCAAGTTTCCCTCATTAAGTGATGTAGTAAGTAATAATCATAGCAGGGTGAGAGTGCCTGTTTCCCCACAGCTTCACCAAGATAGTCCTTATTTTTTCAGTCAAGCTTTTAATTGTTTAGTCATAGAGTAAGGCAAAATGGTATATCAGGTTTTCATTTTTTTAATTTTGTGAATTGCCTCTTCGTGTATTCGCTTATTTATATTTTGTATTTTTGTTTTCCCTCAACTGTAACAGTTATTATATGTTTGTGAATATTAATCCTAAATTAGTTCTATCTTTCCTGAGACAATGCAATTTTAAGCAGATGCTGTATAATATGTTTAATTTCTTGTTCATTACTAACCTCTCTGTGATCGTTAATACTGAATGTCAACTTGATTGGATGGAAAGATACAAAATATTGATCCTGGGTGTGTCTGTGAGGGCATTGCCAAAAGAGATTAACATTTGAGCCAGTGGGCTGGGGAAGGTAGATCCACCCTTAATCTGGTGGGCACAATCTAACCTGCTGCCAGCCAACATAAAGCAGGCAGAAAAATGTGAAAAGGAGAGAGACTGGCCTAGCTTCCCAGCCTATATCTTTCTCCCATTCTGGATGCTTCCTTCCTTTGAACACCCAACTCCAAGTTCTTCAGTTCTGGGACTCGGACTGGCTCTCCTTGCCCCGCAGCCTGCAGACAGGCTATTGTGGGACCTTGTGATCATGTAAGTTAACACTTAATAAACTCCCCTTTATATGTTTCTCCTATCCAAGAATTAGAAATGGCTTTTTACTCACTCCAGACAAATATTTTGTATTTCTTTTGGTATTTTTATATATTCCTTCATAGATGTGTTGTCCATTACTATTAGGCTTATTTCTAGGTATTTTATTATCCTACTGGCTATTATAAATAAATATTTTAAGCTATAATATCTTCTCACAGGTTACTGTGTGTTTATGTGAAGGTTGTTGATTTCTGTATGTTAATTTTCGACCTTCTACCTCTTCAAATTATTACTCGAATTAAATATATGATTAGTTCTCTATGATAGTTACATTATCATGATATAGGAAAATAGTGAATGTTATTTCTTCTTTTCTTATTCTTCAAACTGTCTTTGACTCCTTTTGCCTAGTTGCATTGACTAATATATTTAGTACAATTCTAGTTACAATAAAAATAAGGAATATCCTTATTTTTTCCCTAATCATAGTGGCAGTATCACTTATGTTTCCATTAAAATCAAAATGCAGGCTTTAGGAATATGTTTTATCCTTTTAAAACATCCTATTCTGTGAGTTCTTTTTTTAAAAATTTTATTATTATTATACTTTAAGTTTTAAGGTACATGTGCACAACATGCAGGTTACATATGTATACATGTGCCATGTTGGTGTGCTGCACCCATTAACTCGTCATTTAGCATTAGGTATATCTCCTAATGCTATCCCTCACCCCTCCCCCAACCCCACAACAGGTCCTGGTGTGTGATATTCCTCTTCCTGTGTCCATGTATTCTCATTGTTCAATTCCCACCAATAAGTAAGAACATGCGGTGTTTGGTTTTTTGTCCTTGTGATAGTTTGCTGAGAATGATGGTGTCGAGTTCTTTTATCAACAAATGTGTATTGAATTTTCTTCATGTCTTTTATTCTGTATCTATGAAAATAATCATAAGGTGTCTTTCTCTTTCACTGATTTTTATTATGGTAAAATATACATAAAATAAAATTTACTACTTTATGTTTACATTTACGATTCAGTGACACTAAGTACATGCATATTAAATAATAACCACTACCATCTATATTCAGAAATTTTTTATCTTTCCCAGCTGAAATTCTGTACCCATGATACACTAACTTCCCATTTCTTCCTTTAGCAAATCCCTGGTAATAACCATTCTACTTCCTGTGTGTATGAATTTGACTTTTTTTTTTTTTTTTTGAGACAAAGTTTAATTCTTGTTGCCCAGGCTGGAGTGCAATGATGCGATCTTGGCTCACCCCATCCTCTGCCTCCCAGGTTCAAGCGATTCTCCTACCTCTGCCTCCTGAGTAGCTGGGATTACAGGCATGCACCACCACCCCTGGCTAATTTTGTATTTTTAGTAGAGTTGGAGTTTCTCCATGTTGGTCAGGCTGGTCTCCAACTCCCGAACTCAGGTGATCTGCCCGCCTTGGCCTCCCAAAGTGCTGGGATTACAGGAATGAGCCACCGTGCACAGCTGAATTTGACTATTCTATATGCCACCTAAAAGTGTATAAGTGGAATCATACAATATTTCTCATTTTTTGTCTACTGTTATTATAATCTTTTCAAGGTTTATCATATGCTATAGTATGTGCCAGAATTTCCTTCTGTTTTTTAAAGATGAATAATATTTCATTGTATATATATATATATATATATATATATATATATATATATATATACACACACACACACACACTACTTTTTCTTATCCATTGATCTATTGATAACAATTTTGGTTGTTTCCATCTTTTGGCTATTGTGAAAAATGCTGCCATGAACATTGGTATACAAATACCTCTTTGAGTCCCTATTTTCGTTCCTCTTGAGCATATATCTGCTAGTGGAACTACTGGGTCATGCAATAATTGTATGTTAATTTTTAGAGAAATCACTACAATTTTGCCCAGTGACTGCACTATTTTACATTTTGCCAGCAATAAGAAAAGTTGTAACATCTCCACATCCTTAACAATTTCTTATTTTCTTTCCTTTCTTCTCTTTTTTTCTTTTGCTTCCTTTCCTTTCTCTTTCTTTCTTTCTTTCTTTCCTTTCTCTTTCTTTCTCTCTCTCTTTCTTTCTTTTTCTTCTTTCTTACTGTGCCATTCTAAAGGATGTGAAGTGGTATCACATTGTAATTTTAAAAATTTCTTGTTGTGGATCTACTATTATGCTGTTGAATAATAGTAATGGATTTACTAATATTGAAACAATCTTAAACTGTTTGGATAAACTCTATTATGGTTAAAATTTTTCTTTTTTTATTAAGCTTTAATTTCAGGAGCACATGTGCAGGTTTGTTAAATAGGTAACTTGCATGTTGCAAGGGATTGTTGTACCTGTCACCCAGGTAAATAGCATAGTACTTGATAGGCAGTTTTTTTATCCTCACCCTCCTCCCATCCTCCATCCTCAAGTAGGCCCTGTGTCTATTGTTCTCTTCTTTGTATCTATGTGTACTCAATGCTTAGCTCCAACTTATAAGTGACAACATGTGTTATTTGATTTCTGTTTCTTCATTAGCTTGCTTAGAATAATGGCCTCTTGCTACAGCAATGTTGCTTCAAAGGATAGTCTCATACTTTTATACGGCTATATAGTATTTTTTGGTGTATATGTGACATATTTTCTTTATCCAGTCTACCATCAATAGGCATCTAGGTTGATCCCATGTCTTTGATACTGTGAGTAGTCCTGCATTGAACATATGTGTGCATGTGTCTTATGATAGCATGATTTATATTCCTTTAGTATATACCTAATAATGGGAATGCTGTAGTCAAATGGTAGTTCTGTTTTAAGTTCTCTGAGAAATCCAAACTGCTTTCCACAAGGGCTGAACTAACTTACACTTCCACCAGCAGTGTATAAGCATTCTCTTTTCTCCACTGCTTCACCAGCATCTATTATTTTTTGACTCTTTAATAGTAGTCATTCTGACTGGTGTGAAATGTTATCTAAATATGTTTGTATTTGCATTTATCTAATGATTAGTGATGATGAGCATTTTTTTTTGTATGTATGTTGGCTGCTTATGTTTTTTTTTTTTATTTTGAGAAGTGTGTGTTCATGTCCTTTGCCCACTTTATAATGGGGTTGTTTGTTTTTTTCTTGTAAATTTGTTTAAGTTACTTATAGATTGTGGATATTAGACATTTGTCAGATACATTGTTTGTAAATATTTTCTCCCATTCTGTGGGATTTCTCTTTACTCTGTTGATACTTTATTTTGCTGTACAGAAGCTTGTAGTTAATTTGCTCCCACTTGTCAATTTTTGTTTTCGTTGCAATTGCTTTTGGCACCTTCATCATGAAATCTTTGCCAGGGCCTATGTCTGAAATGATATCCTCTATGTTTTCTTCAAGTAGTTTTATAGTTTTAGGTTTTTAATCCACCTTGAATTGATTTTTATATACAGTAAAAGGAAGGGGTCAAGTTTCACTCTTCTCCATATGAATAGCCAGTTATCCCTGCACTATTTATTGAATAGGTAGTCCTTTCCCATTTCTTGTTTTTATCAGCTTTGTTGAAGATTACATGGCCGTAGGATGGCTGTCTTCAAAAGACCCATCTTACATGCCATGACACCCATGGGCTCAAAGTAAAGGAATGGAGAAAAATGTACCAAACACATAAAAAGCAGAAAAAAGCCATGGTTGTCATTCTAATTTCAGGAAAAAACAGACTGTAAATCAACAATGATCAAAAATTTATAATTTCTTAGAAATTATAAATAATAGTTTAATTTGGTCATTTCCTGTGGGCAGAGTAAGGAATATGTGAAAAATCTCAGCTATTTAGAACTAAATTATACTAATTGCAAATTATCAAGTTTTAGTCTTTTGGCACTAGTTAACTTGTTGTATTAGTCTGTTCTCACACTGTTATAAAGATACTACCCTGAGACTGGGTAATTTATAAAGGAAAGAGGTTTAATTAACTCACAGTTCCGCATGGCTTTGAGGCCTCAGGAAACTTACAATCATGGCAGAAGGTGAAGCAGGCACGTCTTACATGATGGCAGGCAAGAGAGCATATGAAGGAGGAACTGTCAAACACTTATAAAACTATCAGATCTCATGAGAACTCACTCACTATCACGAGAACAGCATGGGGACAACCTCCCCTCTCTCCACACACAGGGATTACACGTCCCTCCCTCAACACATGGGGATTACAGTTTGAGATGAGATTTGGGTGGGGATACAGACCCAAACCATATCACCTGTATAAAAATAAGTTTTCATATTGTCCTCATACCTGTGGACATATTGTGTTGCTATAAACATGTATGTACAAGTGTCTGATTTTTTTCTGATTTCTAAAGACTACATTTGTAAAAGTACAAATGAAAAGATTTTTATTTTTACTCCAGAAGTAAAAATACCCTAAAATTTTGTTCTTTCTTAATTAAAATAGCCTAAAAGAATAAAGAATAGAACAATAAAAAATAAGGCATGTGAATCACACTTATCCTTACATTAAGGGAAAAATGCAGGCTAAAATTATATGACTTTCAATAGTTTCCTTTTATTGTCAATAAGACTGTTCAAATAACTACTTTAGAATGCATGTCAATTAGAGTTGTCACACACTCAAAAAAGGGACTTTAAAGGATGTAGGATTTAAAGAGTGTGGGTAGGTTTAAAGAACCACAAAGGAATATGAAACACTTTGGTATTGGCCACAGTAAAGACCCATCACACAATAAGCCTGAAAGAGAAAAAAAAGTGGTGTTACCAGACACCTTGGCTCCGTGGAAAACGGATCACCTGACATCAGTTGAAACAACAGAACAATCACTGCTACAATGATGGCAACGCAAAGGGGGATACATCTCCAACGTGTTTCTTCATCTGCCTTCTAATACTCTACTACGCTTTCTGCTTGCTGAACCCAAGGGAAAAATGAAGAGCAAAGAAGCCCTCCCTGGTAAACTAAGATGTAGTGATCAGCTTTCCACAATAGAAAGGCCGAGAAGGGTACATAATTTATCAGAAGATGGGCAAATAGTGAAAAAGTGACATAATAATACATTTCCACTAAATAAAAATTGAATATTTAAATCATTTTATTATTCTTTTCCTGTGTAAGCTTTTAATGTATGTTCAATATTTTCTTTCCATGATGAATTACATATTCTTTTGAAAGACATTTTGAATCAGAAGAAGCAAATTTGACATTAAGACTTTCTTGCATGGCCTCCTCTTACTGAGAAATTGTCAATAAGCTTGGATGTCTGTGCTTTAAAAATGGCAAAGAAGATTCATTAACCTGAGGATAAATTAAAGATGTGAAAATAATCAACCTAAAAATTAAAAATTTATCTTCGCTATAGTAATGAGGAAGAAAATGCCTATAAAATATTGACATAAACTGTAAGGGTCCTTAAAATACATTTATTTAGAAAAGGAGAAGGCTTCAACTTGTGAAAACTACATATTGATTTATGTAATCAGTTAAGTCTGCCTAAAAAGTTTCCATAAAATGGAATGCTGTAGATGGACTATATAATCACATATTCTACCATGAGCAAATTTGACACATGAATTCACCAGTTTGATGAAATAAACCTCACAATTATTTTCTTTCTTTTTATTTTTATTTTTATTTTTATTTTTTTAATTTTTTTTATTTAAGTTTTAGGGTACACGTGCACATTGTGCAGGTTAGTTACATATGTATACATGTGACATGCTGGTGCGCTGCACCCACTAACTCGTCATCTAGCATTAGGTATATCTCCCGATGCTATCCCTCCCCCCTGCCCCCACCCCACAACAGTCCCCAGAGTGTGATATTCCCCTTCCTGTGTCCATGTGATCTCATTGTTCAATTCCCACCTATAAGTGAGCATATGCGGTGTTTGGTTTTTTGTTCTTGCGATAGTTTACTGAGAATGATGATTTCCAATTTCATCCATGTCCCTACAAAGGACATGAACTCATCATTTTTTATGGCTGCATAGTATTCCATGGTGTATATATGCCACATTTTCTTAATCCAGTCTATCATTGTTGGACATTTGGGTTGGTTCCAAGTCTTTGCTATTGTGAATAATGCCGCAATAAACATACGTGTGCATGTGTCTTTATAGCAGCATGATTTATAGTCCTTTGGGTATATACCCAGTAATGGGATGGCTGGGTCAAATGGTATTTCCAGTTCTAGATCCCTGAGGAATCGCCACACTGACTTCCACAATGGTTGAACTAGTTTACAGTCCCACCAACAGTGGAAAAGTGTTCCTATTTCTCCACATCCTCTCCAGCACCTGTTGTTTCCTGACTTTTTAATGATTGCCATTCTAACTGGTGTGAGATGGTATCTCATTGTGGTTTTGATTTGCATTTCTCTGATGGCCAGTGATGATGAGCATTTTTTCATGTGTCTTTTGGCTGCATAAATGTCTTCTTTTGAGAAGTGTCTGTTCATGTCCTTCGCCCACTTTTTGATGGGGTTGTTTGTTTTTTTCTTGTAAATGTGTTTGAGTTCATTGTAGATTCTGGATATTAGCCCTTTGTCAGATGAGTAGGTTGCGAAAATTTTCTCCCATTTTGTAGGTTGCCTGTTCACTGTTATGGTAGTTTCTTTTGCTGTGCAGAAGCTCTTTAGTTTAATTAGATCCCATTTGTCAATTTTGGCTTTTGTTGCCATTGCTTTCGGTATTTTAGACATGAAGTCCTTGCCCATGCCTATGTCCTGAATGGTAATGCCTAGGTTTTCTTCTAGGGTTTTTATGGTTTTAGGTCTAACGTTTAAGTCTTTAATCCATCTTGAATTGATTTTTGTATAAGGTGTAAGGAAGGGATCCAGTTTCAGCTTTCTACATATGGCTAGCCAGTTTTCCCAACACCATTTATTAAATAGGGAATCCTTTCCCCATTGCTTGTTTTTCTCAGGTTTGTCAAAGATCAGATAGTTGTAGATATGTGGCGTTATTTCTGAGGGCTCTGTTCTGTTCCATTGATCTATATCTCTGTTTTGGTACCAGTACCATGCTGTTTTGTTTACTGTAGCCTTGTAGTATAGTTTGAAGTCAGGTAGCGTGATGCCTCCAGCTTTGTTCTTTTGGCTTAGGATTGACTTGGCGATGCGGGCTCTTTTTTGGTTCCATATGAACTTTAAAGTAGTTTTTTCTAATTCTGTGAAGAAAGTCATTGGTATCTTGATGGGGATGGCATTGAATCTGTAAATTACCTTGGGCAGTATGGCCATTTCCACGATATTGATTCGTCCTACCCATGAGCATGGAATGTTCTTCCATTTGTTTGTATCCTCTTTTATTTCATTGAGCAGTGGTTTGTAGTTCTCCTTGAAGAGGTCCTTCACATCCCTTGTAAGTTGGATTCCTAGGTATTTTATTCTCTTTGAAGCAATTGTGAATGGGAGTTCACTCATGATTTGGCTCTCTGTTTGTCTGTTGTTGGTGTATAAGAATGCTTGTGATTTTTGTACATTGATTTTGTATCCTGAGACTTTGCTGAAGTTGCTTATCAGCTTAAGGAGATTTTGGGCTGAGACAATGGGGTTTTCTAGATATACAATCATGTCGTCTGCAAACAGGGACAATTTGACTTCCTCTTTTCCTAATTGAATACCCTTTATTTCCTTCTCCTGCCTAATTGCCCTGGCCAGAACTTCCAACACTATGTTGAATAGGAGTGGTGAGAGAGGGCATCCCTGTCTTGTGCCAGTTTTCAAAGGGAATGCCTCCAGTTTTTGCCCATTCAGTATGATATTGGCTGTGGGTTTGTCATAGATAGCTCTTATTATTTTGAAATACGTCCCATCAATACCTAATTTATTGAGAGTTTTTAGCATGAAGGGTTGTTGAATTTTGTCAAAGGCTTTTTCTGCATCTATTGAGATAATCATGTGGTTTTTGTCTTTGGCTCTGTTTATATGCTGGATTACATTTATTGATTTGCATATATTGAACCAGCCTTGCATCCCAGGGATGAAGCCCACTTGATCATGGTGGATAAGCTTTTTGATGTGCTGCTGGATTCGGTTTGCCAGTATTTTATTGAGGATTTTTGCATCAATGTTCATCAAGGATATTGGTCTAAAATTCTCTTTTTTTGTTGTGTCTCTGCCTGGCTTTGGTATCAGAATGATGCTGGCCTCATAAAATGAGTTAGGGAGAATTCCCGCTTTTTCTATTGATTGGAATAGTTTCAGAAGGAATGGTACCAGTTCCTCCTTGTACCTCTGGTAGAATTCGGCTGTGAATACATCTGGTCCTGGACTCTTTTTGGTTGGTAAGCTATTGATTATTGCCACAATTTCAGCTCCTGTTATTGGTCTATTCAGAGATTCAACTTCTTCCTGGTTTAGTCTTGGGAGAGTGTATGTGTTGAGGAATTTATCCATTTCTTCTAGATTTTCTAGTTTATTTGTGTAGAGGTGTTTGTAGTATTCCCTGATTGTAGTTTGTATTTCTGTGGGATCAGTGGTGATATCCCCTTTATCATTTTTGATTGCGTCTATTTGATTCTTCTCTCTTTTTTTCTTTATTAGTCTTGCTAGTGGTCTATCAATTTTGTTGATCCTTTCAAAAAACCAGCTCCTGGATTCATTAATTTTTTGAAGGGTTTTTTGTGTCTCTATTTCCTTCAGTTCTGCTCTGATTTTAGTTATTTCTTGCCTTCTGCTAGGTTTTGAATGTGTTTGCTCTTGCTTTTCTAGTTCTTTTAATTGTGATGTTAGGGTGTCAATTTTGGATCTTTCCTGCTTTCTCTTGTGGGCATTTAGTGCTATAAATTTCCCTCTACACACTGCTTTGATTGCGTCCCAGAGATTCTGGTATGTTGTGTCTTTGTTCTCGTTGGTTTCAAAGAACATCTTTATTTCTGCCTTCATTTCGTTATGTACCCAGTAGTCATTCGGGAGCAGGTTGTTCAGTTGCCATGTCGTTGAGCGGTTTTGAGTGAGATTCTTAATCCTGAGTTCTAGTTTGATTGCACTGTGGTCTGAGAGATAGTTTGTTATAATTTCTGTTCTTTTACATTTGCTGAGGAGAGCTTTACTTCCCAGTATGTGGTCAATTTTGGAATAGGTGTGGTGTGGTGCTGAAAAAAATGTATATTCTGTTGATTTGGGGTGGAGAGTTCTGTAGATGTCTATTAGGTCCGCTTGATGCAGAGCTGAGTTCAATTCCTGGGTATCCTTGTTGACTTTCTGTCTCGTTGATCTGTCTAATGTTGACAGTGGGGTGTTAAAGTCTCCCATTATTATTGTGTGGGAGTCTAAGTCTCTTTGTAGGTCACTCAGGACTTGCTTTATGAATCTTGGTGCTCCTGTATTGGGTGCATATATATTTAGGATAGTTAGCTCTTCTTGTTGAATTGATCCCTTTACCATTATGTAATGGCCTTCTTTGTCTCTTTTGATCTCTGTTGGTTTAAAGTCTGTTTTATCCGAGACTAGGATTGCAACCCCTGCCTTTTTTTATTTTCCATTTGCTTGGTAGATCTTCCTCCATCCTTTTATTTTGAGCCTATGTGTGTCTCTGCACGTGAGATGGGTTTCCTGAATACAGCACACTGATGGGTCTTGACTATTTATCCAATTTGCCAGTCTGTGTCTTTTAATTGGAGCATTTAGTCCATTTACATTTAAGGTTTATATTGTTATGTGTGAATTTGATCCTGTCATTATGATGTTAGCTGGTTATTTTGCTCATTAGTTGATGCAGTTTCTTCCTAGTCTCGGTGGTCTTTACATTTTGGCATGATTTTGCAGTGGCTGGTACCGGTTGTTCCTTTCCATGTTTAGTGCTTCCTTCAGGAGCTCTTGTAAGGCAGGCCTGGTGGTGACAAAATCTCTCAGCATTTGCTTGTCTGTAAAGTATTTTATTTCTCCTTCACTTATGAAGCTTAGTTTCGCTGGATATGAAATTCTGGGTTGAAAATTCTTTTCTTTAAGAATGTTGAATATTGGCCCCCACTCTCTTCTGGCTTGTAGGGTTTCTGCCGAGAGATCCGCTGTTAGTCTGATGGGCTTCCCTTTGAGGGTAACCCGACCTTTCTCTCTGGCTGCCCTTAACATTTTTTCCTTCATTTCAACTTTGGTGAATCTGACAATTATGTGTCTTGGAGTTGCTCTTCTCGAGGAGTATCTTTGTGGAGTTCTCTGTATTTCCTGAATCTGAACGTTGGCCTGCCTTGCTAGATTGGGGAAGTTCTCCTGGATAATATCCTGCAGAGAGTTTTCCAACTTGGTTCCATTCTCCCCATCACTTTCAGGTACACCAATCAGACGTAGATTTGGTCTTTTCACATAGTCCCATATTTCTTGGAGGCTTTGCTCATTTCTTTTTATTCTTTTTTCTCTAGACTTCCCTTCTCGCTTCATTTCATTCATTTCATCTTCCATCGCTGATACCCTTTCTTCCAGTTGATCACATCGGCTCCTGAGGCTTCTGCATTCTTCACGTAGTTCTCGAGCCTTGGTTTTCAGCTCCATCAGCTCCTTTAAGCACTTCTCTGTATTGGTTATTCTAGTTATACATTCTTCTAAATTTTTTTCAAAGTTTTCAACTTCTTTGCCTTTGGTTTGAATGTCCTCCCGTAGCTCAGAGTAATTTGATTGTCTGAAGCCTTCTTCTCTCAGCTCGTCAAAGTCATTCTCCATCCAGCTTTGTTCCGTTGCTGGTGAGGAACTGTGTTCCTTTGGAGGAGGAGAGGCACTCTGCTTTTTAGAGTTTCCAGTTTTTCTGTTCTGTTTTTTCCCCATCTTTGTGGTTTTATCTACTTTTGGTCTTTGATGATGGTGATGTACAGATGGGTTTTTGGTGTGGATGTCCTTTCTGTTCGTTAGTTTTCCTTCTAACAGAGAGGACCCTCAGCTGCAGGTCTGTTGGAGTACCCTGCCGTGTGAGGTGTCAGTGTGCCCCTGCTGGGGGGTGCCTCCCAGTTAGGCTGCTCGGGGTTCAGGGGTCAGGGACCCACTTGAGGAGGCAGTCTGCCCGTTCTCAGATCTCCAGCTGCATGCTGGGAGAACCACTGCTCTGTTCGAAGCTGTCAGACAGGGACATTTAAGTCTGCAGAGGTTACTGCTGTCTTTTTGTTTGTTTGTGCCCAGCCCCCAGAGGTGGAGCCTACAGAGGCAGGTAGGCCTCCTTGAGCTGTGGTGGGCTCCACCCAGTTCGAGCTTCCCGGCTGCTTTGTTTACCTAATCAAGCCTGGGCAATGGCGGGCGCCCCTCCCCCAGCGTTGCTGCTGCCTTGCAGTTTGATCTCAGACTGCTGTGCTAGCAATCAGCGAGATTCCGTGGGCGTAGGACCCTCCGAGCCAGGTGGGGGATATAATCTCGTGGTGCGCCGTTTTTTAAGCCTGTCGGAAAAGCGCAGTATTCGGGTGGGAGTGACCCGATTTTCCAGGTGCTGTCCGTCACCCCTTTCTTTGACTCAGAAAGGGAACTCCCTGACCCCTTGCGCTTCCCAAGTGAGGCAATGCCTCGCCCTGCTTGGGCTCGCGCATGGTGCGCGCACCCACTGACCTGCGCCCACTGTCTGGCACTCCCTGGTGAGATGAACCCGGTACCTCAGATGGAAATGCAGAAATCCCCTGTCTTCTGCGTCGCTCACGCTGGGAGCTGTAGACCGGAGCTGTTCCTATTCGGCCATCTTGGCTCCTCCCCCCCTATTTTCTTTCAAGATAACTTTATGTTATATAAAAACATTTTCTTGGACTATTAAATTTCAAGAACTTGGAACATTAAAAACCTAATTATGTTTACATGCAGACTAAAGAACTATATCTCTCATTTAATATGCTACACATCTGCAAGAGGTTTGTTAAACCCAAATAAGACTATACAGTAAATTGTTCTTCATTAAGTCACATTAGACTATAAGAAACAGTGATTTTTTTTAAATTTGTTGAGCCAGTGGAAAACACATAAACACCAATACAAGTATCCATAAAATACAAAACAGACAAAAATAGAAGTAGTAAGGAGGAATTATCCTAGTACAGGAAATTTATGGTTGCCACATTACAAGTATTCTAGCATATTAGCATGTTTATGGCCACATACTAATAAACTGAACACAAAACTTGAAATCCATCAATAAAAACATACTATTTTTTAGACTACAGGACTTAACTTATTTATGTTATCTTACAGTGAGAAAATAAAAGTGTAACTGACATTAATCTTTATGGAGCAATTACTCCGTATAGTGATTTATCTGCATTTTTGTTTTCAATATATCAAATTCATATGAATCATCAGTGATTTCAATGCTTTCAAAGTCATCTGGCATCTACCTAATCATTCACCACTTACTTGTTTTTTATTATTAAAAGTTATTGAACATTTTTATGCCTCTGTGCACAAAACAAACTATAAAAAAGGTGCCTTCCTCATAGACCTTATTTTAAGCATGAGACGCTGGACATAAAGTTCTTACTATAGTTCTGAAGTGTATGAAGAAATAAATTAATAAACCATTAATTCAATATTACTATATTGACTCAATATTACTATATATGAGTTATACTGTATAACTAAATATTACTATAGATGCTGTTGTTATTCTTCACAGAATTAATCACAACATTAGAAATAGGAAATGTCAATAGCATTGCTATAAGTAAAAGTACTTGATGATTGTGGGGTTTTCTTTAAATTACAGACTTAGTTTAAATGTTCCTTAACGATATGCATCCTATGTTGCATTGTGTTAACAGCTGTCTGTACAAGAACTAGCATATGGATCCTCTATGTAGTAACACAGTCTTTTATGTTACATTGTCCACAATGCTATGAAGTAAGAATCATTTTTTGTATACTAATTTATAAATTTTCCTTATTTTTTTTTTGAGACAGTCTCACTGTGTCACTCAGGCTGGAGTACAATGGTGCAATCTTGGCTACTGCAACCTTCACCTCCCGGGTTCAAGCGATTCTCCTGCCTCAGCCTTCAGAGTAGCTGGGATTACAGGCGCCTGCCACCATGCCCAGCTAGTTTTTGTATTTTTAGTAGAGTTGGGGTTTCGCCATGTTGGCCAGGGTCGTCTCGAACTCCTGACCTCAGGTGATCCACCCGCCTCGGCCTCCCAAAGTGCTGGGATTATAGGCATGAGCCACTGTGCCCTGACAAATTTTCCTTAATTAATTCTTCCTCAAGATCAATTCCATTGCAAGGTAAAACTGGTTTTCTGACATTACGTAGAGGACTGGTCTTGTGACCTGCTATGCCCACCAAAAATGCCATTGTGCCTAATTTAAGACTAGACTTTAAGAAGCTTGGCAGGTTCCTTTCACCCTCCCATATAATTGCCACTTCAATAGAACCAAGTTTGGTGTATGTTGATGGATGATGTGAGATACATGGGGGACAGTTCAATTCTCCTGGTCCAACCATCCTTGATCAGCCTGATCAAAATTGCCAAATAGTGTCCACCCAAGTTCAGCTGAGCATCCTATCAATCTGTAACTAAGCACAAATATCTGAGTAAGCCAAGTTCAGACCAGAATAGCCTTCCAGCTGAAAGATAAAATTGTTAGAAATAATATATTCGTGGTGTTTTAAGCCACCAAGTTTCATAGTGACATTGTGAGAAACAATAGCTTACTGATCTATATCTATATTTATACCTATATGTATACTGATTCTGGTTTTTAGAGATAAATTAATAAATAGAGAAGTTAAGCACAATAAAAATTATAATTTTAAGGGATAGGATTTTTGACAAATCATAAAAATTTATGCACACTTCATCTTACATATAAAAATGAAACCTAAGGGCTCAACCTGAAACCACTGATTGTTTCGGATATTATTGTTTAAATCTTCTGAAAAGAAATCAGTCAAAGCTTCTGTAATTGAAAACTCACTAGTGGAATTTCAAAATACAATTGAAATCTTTATCAATAGACTAGACCAAGCAGAAGAAAGAATTTCATAGCTTGAACATTTGTTTTTCAAATCAACCCAGACAGACAAAAATTAAAAAAAAAAGTTAAGAAAGTATTTGACAAATATGAGCTTATGTAAAGCAACAAAACCTATGAATTATTGGCATTTCTAAGAGAGAAGGAGAAAAAATTAAGCAACACAGAAAATATACTTGAAGGAATAATCCAAGAAAATTTTCTAATCTTGCTGGAGAGGTTTGACATCCAAATACAAGAAATCCAGAGCACATTTGTGAAATACAATACAAAATGAGTATCACAAAGACATCTACTCAACAGGTTGTGCGAGATCAACACTACAGAAAAAAAAAATCTTAAAAGCAGCTAGAAGAAAAGGTCAGATTACATAAAAAGGGAGCCTCATCAGGTTACCAGCAGACATCCCAGTGAAAACCTTACAAAGCAGGAGATACTGGGGGCCTATTTTCAGCATTCTTAAAGAAAAGAAATTCCAACCAAGAATTTCATATCCTGCCAAACTAAGCTTCATAAGTAAAGGAGAAATAAAATATTTTCCAGAGAAGCAAGTGCTAAGGGAATTTGTTACCAATAGACTAGCCTTACAAGAGATCCTTACAAGAAATTCTTAAGGGAGTTTTAAATATTGAAATGAATGTTTTCTGCTTCCAGAAAAACACATTTAAGTACATACCCACAGACCCTGTATAGCAACCATGCAATATAAACTACAAAGAAACCAACCAACAGCTTCACAATGGTGAATAGTAATATTCAATATTAACCTCGAATGTCAGTGGTCTAAACCATTGACATCCAGATACAGGAAATCCAGAGAACACTTTGAAATACTATACAAAATGAGCATCACCAAGGCATGTAGTCAACAGACTGTCCAAAGTCAACCAGAAAGAACAAAATTCTTAAAAACAGCTAGAAAAAAAAAAAAAAGAAAGATCAGATCACATACAAAGAGAATGCCGTCAGGCTACCACAGACTTTTCAACAGAAACCTTAACAGGCAAAGAGCTGTAAGTTGGATTAAAAAACAAAACTCATTCATCTCTGGTCTTCAAGGGATCCACTTCACAGATAAAAACACCCATAGGCACAAAATAAAGGGATGGAGAAAGATCTATCATGCAAATGGAAAAAAAAAAAGAGCAGGGTGCAATTATTATATCGAATAAAAGTCTTTAAACCAAAAACAGTAAAAGAGGACAAAGATGGGCATTACATAATAATAAAGAGTTGAATAAAATAAGAAGGCTTAACTATCCTAACATATACACACCCATTATTGAAGAACATAAAATACTTGTTCATAAACAAGTACTTCTAGACCTATGAAAAGACATAGACAGCCAAACAATCATAGTATGGACTTCAAAACCACACTGACAGCATTAGATCATTGAGACAGAAAGCTAACAAAGAAAATATTGATTTAAATTGGACACTTGGACAGCTGACATCTGTTGAATAAGTCCACCCATCAACCACAGAATATATATTCCTCGTCCAGGCACAGTGGCTCACACCTGTAATCCCAGCACATTGGGAGGCCGAGGTGAGCAGATCACCTGAGGTCAGGAGTTTGAGACCAGCCTGGCCAACATGGCGAAACCCTGTCTTTACCAAAAGTACAAAAAAATTAGTCAAGCATGGTGGCAAAATTTATAAAGGGTTATAAAAGTTTTTTGCCTCTTTACAATTTCTGAGTCATCATTTTTGCAAAATAAATCACTTATGGTAATCTGGAATTCTATTTTATAATATCAAGTGTTTTAAACCTTAAACATTTAACAGGCTTCCCCTAATCAAACTTCAGTTTCAAAATTGTCTTCCCTGACACCTGGCTTTTTGAATATTTCAAAGGGTCCCTGAAGTGTCCAGAAAAGAAAGGTAAACAGGATTATTTTACATGTTTAGTTACATGAGATTGACAAAATGATGTTCAGTCTTCTTTAGGTTATATCTTAGTGAATAATGCTAATATATGTTTCAAATTGTATGGAATTTCTAAAATTCTAATGTCTAAGTATGTGCTATCAATCATAATTAAGGTTTTTATGTTAAGTTATTGTAAACCACAGAGATAACCAAACTGCTTTGTCAATTGTATTTCTAACTGTAACTACCCTGGACATTTTGCTATTCACAGAAAATTGTTGTCTTGTTTTAATCCTGTTCAAAAATGGTTTATAATGAGCTACAGAACATTAACAGGTGCTCTCAAATAGAGGCTTCTGATGACTGTAGAAACTGTAGCATTGGAATAAAGGAAAATGTATAGGACTCATAAAGAGCCGAAATGTTCATGAATATCAAGCAAAACAAGAGTTAACTAAATGGACTGAACTCAGGAAGCTGAAGCAACCTTTTTGACTTTTGCTTGGAATATTGCTTATCCTTGTTTTGTTTTTCAGAGTCAAGGAAACTTATTTTAAATTATTTACAGCCTTTAATAATTGAGTACGATATACCCCTGTGATCAAAATTTGGAGCATGTTTGTTTCTCTCTTCCTGGTTCCTCTAGAATTTGGAACCTATCTGTGAGTGTTCTTAACTTAGGGAAATATAGTTGTTTGCATCAGTGCAATAAGAATCCACTTTCATTTGCAACAGAACACCATTGGAGAAAGTGGTTATTTTACCAAAGCTTTGACTGTAAGGGTATGCTTCCCTTTAAGGAGTCAATCTTGACTTGCAGAACCAATAAAACCCCTGTGAGGAAAATGGCCTCATACCCTTGCCTACACAGTCCCTGTGTAGGGTTCCTGACCTCTAGTCCGTAAAGAATGTCACTTTCTAACAGGTCTAGGAGCTCCAAGCTTACCTTAGGACCTTAAGAGGAGAGAATCATCCACCTCACAGGTATTCGAGGATAAACTCATGGCTGTGCTTAGCTTTAAAAAGTCTTATCTGAGATTCCTTGTGGAACAAAATTCCATCAAAGCCAATCCAAAAGGCCTATGTAGAAATAATTATTCTTGCTGCACTTTATGCAAATAATCAGGCCAAGTATTAGTCTACAGTCTATTTTGCAAGCCATTCAGTCCTATGATTATTTTTTTTAAAACAAACATGGCGATTAGAGAGAGAGAAATCATATTTCAAAACTTATATTTGTCATTAAATTCTAAACTTACTAGTTGTTTTTAAGTTTTCACCTACATTTTACGCTAACCCTGCTTGTTTCTGTGAGCCAACCAACACTCTCCAGTGGCAGCTCAAAAAGAACAAAAGGGATAGGTAATGTAAAAATCTGGATCAATATTCTAGTCCTGAGCAATTATGCATATCCTGCCAGGTGATGGAATACATAGGGTTCCCATCACCCAGAGGTTTCCTTTTTGGGAAAGTAAGACCAAGGGAACTAACTAAAACCAAGCACCATGCACCTAAATCCTAGCAAGCATAACTATAGCTACCAGTTATCTGGGTGTGTCACAAGACATCCTTTTCTCTCCCTTGTTGGGTGAGGACTCAGTTCCACAGTTTCCCCTTAGCATTTGGCTTATGACAAGCAGTCCATACAACCCCCACTCCGAGATACATCTTTGTCCCAGACTCAATTCCAAGCTTAGGGTCAAAGCCCTAGGAAAGAAAACTGGAGGCCGGGCGCGGTGGCTCACGCCTGTAATCCCAGCACTTTGGGAGGCCGAGGCGGGCGGATCACGAGATCAGGAGATCGAGACCATCCCGGCTAAAACGGTGAAACCCCGTCTCTACTGAAAATACAAAAAATTAGCCGGGCGTAGTGGCGGGCGCCTGTAGTCCCAGCTACTTGGGAGGCTGAGGCAGGAGAATGGCGTGAACCCGGGAGGCGGAGCTTGCAGTGAGCCGAGATCCCGCCACTGCACTCCAGCCTGGGCGACAGAGCGAGACTCCGTCTCAAAAAAAAAAAAAAAAAAAAAAAAAAAAGGAAACTGGATCTGAGGGATCCAGAGGCAGATGATAATGGAAGTTAAAAGGCACAGTGCAGGTGAGCGTGGCTGATTCCTGCCGATTAAGCCAACTCCAAGCTTCCTGTTTTATGGATAAAGGCCACGCTCATATCCATGAGATAAATGAGGTCCAGGGAATCCCAGGCTACTGACAGCAGGGGAGATAGGGCATATGTGGGTAAGAGTGAGTGAGTCCCACCCCCTAGGCCCCCCTGCTTCATGGGTGCAAGTCGCTTTGATACTCATGGCCTTACCTGCCAAAGTTGCCAGAACTCGGGAATACAAGGATGGAAGAGGGAAAGAGGAAGCTCTACCCTCTCTCCCTCACGTACCCTGGGTATCTGCTAGGAAGAGAAGGGAGTCAGGGACACCTGCTCCCCTCTTTCTAGATGGGTAGCCATTCATCTTCAGTTAGTACCCCTTTCAAATGCATCCTGAACCCTTGGGACTCTTTTAAGAGGTGCCGTCTTTTTTCTTTCTTCTTCTCAATTCTCTCTTCAATAATAGTTAATCATGTCTCCTTACTACAGGACACTCCCCTCAGATGCATCCTCCAAACTCAAAAGAATTAATTCCCCAAACCTTAAACTGGTTGTCTTAGGACTGGACTCAGGGGAAGGGAACCGGGAAGCCCAACATGCCAGCAAACAGGTAAAGTTTTTTATTTTTTTTTCAGTTGGGCTTTTGGCTTTCCTCTCCCTGTGTAAACTGGTAAAAGGCCTTGGAATTTTTTAGGTATCCTTACCTCTCCCCTTGTTTCATTTTGATACATGTTTTCTAATAACCTGGCTTGTCTGTTCTTGCCTTTATGCCATCAAATTCCAAATGGTCATGCAACCAGTGCCTCAGACCATGGCCCTTCTGCTGGGGACACTTAGGTAGGCCTCTGAAAGAGCTCTGACTGCCATTTCCCCTAAACAGCACTACCCTCATCAGCAGGAAGCAGTTAAGACTAGTTTTCGTCCTTTAATCTAAAGGCAGTTAGATGCACTATTTTAGAGGGGGAAATGAGACAGCCAGGTGGGAGGGGTCCCTGGAGAAACTTCCAGGGGCCTCTGCCCTGGTGTGGAGCCACAAAAGTTAGTGCCCTTTGCAGCAGGGAGGAGCCAGGCTTCTTCTCTTCCTATGTAGGACCTGGGATTCAAGCTGCGGGTAGGAAGCGCTCTAGCAGGAACTCTGGACTTGCGGGAGATCCCTGTTTCCCCCGCTTTTTTTCCTTTTCACCCAATAAAACCCTGCTTCACTCACCCTTCAAACCACCTGCAAGCCTAAATTCTTGTGGCTGTGGGACAGCCAAGGACCTTGTCTTTAGCTGAACTAAGGAAAAGTCTTGCAGCAGCTGCTAATTGGGAAAAATTAAAATTTCTTGTTCACTTGAACATGACATTCAATCTTGGTACCTGAGACTCTGTCTCTTGAAGTTTGACTCATGTTGAAAATTACAATAAAAATTTGTATGCTATTTATATCACAAACTGTCCTGAGGATATTTTCATTAATTCCTGCTAATTAGATTTTATCTTTAAATATAATGTCTTGTTTCCATTCTATCTGAGTCTTAAATATTTAGCATTTCTTTGAAATCTCTAGTTGTCCCTTGATCCTTTCTGTGCTTTCTGAAATTAGCCAGATTTCGTGTCTCTGCATAAAATCAAAGCATAGTACTGAAGCAAAATCCTTATTATGTTTTTCAAAGTAAAATTTTGTTTAATGGCATAACCTAGAGTAGAATGATGTGCCAAGATCAAATTATCTAATTATTTACAGTTACTTATTCTATATAGTATTCTGTTTCATGTAGATATCAATTTGGTAAATGTATACAATTTAAGCAAAATGGTGATCTTTACATTCATATTCCTTTGTCCTTTGCTGTAAGCATATATTGGATCGTCATGAAAGTTAGATGAAATAAATTCTTAACAAAAGACAGTTCATTCAATGTTTACACTTTTAAGCAGTATTAAAGTTAACTCTGAAATGCACATATGCTAAAGTTATATGTCATAATGCTAGCAGTACAAAGAAGATATATAGTTTTGGAATTTGAAAACCTTGAGTCTCACCCGTTCACTAACTCTGTAACGTTAGATATTGAAATTAGTGTGGTGTCAGATTTCTCAACTATTAAAATGGGTAATTATAAGAATACCCTTGTAGAATTATCATATGAATCTTGAGAAAATTAGATTAAATTATGTACTTAAAGTGCTTATCTTAGTGGCTACACAATTGTGAATAGACACTGAATGTAAACTACCTTTATTGAGTAGACAGAGCATTCCCCTTTGCATTCCACATCATATTGTGTAACTGATGTAAACTTTACTCACAGTAGAAATGGAAAATGCAAGCAGCAAGGGGGTGAGGTTACAAATTAAAACTGAATATGCAATTACTGAACAATGCAGTTGCCTCATGGTACGATTACTTTATATCACTATTCACATTTGAAATTATTTGAAACTAATTATAGATCTTGGTGTGACTCACCCTTTACTACCACTCTATTATGTGATATGGCTAAATAAACTGCTCTCCTCTTGAACAAGAGAAAATGTGATTACTAGTAGTCATTAATGACTTTGGGTGTGTATATAATAAAATGATTATGTAAACTGTATGACCCCTAAATGTAGTTACTGGTTTTTAGTACAAATTCTGTATTCATAAGTGAAGATTCTTCTGGGGAAAAATAAAGTGGATAGCTTCTGTTTAGAGTAAATGATTTTGTTCTTATTTTTATTTATTTTTGTTATGTTTTATATTTGTATCCATGGATGAAAAACAAGTTTCTCATTTATGCATTATTTCAAACTAACTTAGAGGCTGATCGCTACCAAATATTTTTCCAAATAATCATATCAAAAATATTTAAATTTTCAAAGAATATAATTTTTACTTTAAAATAAGTTATGCTTTGTTATGAATATTTAGATATCTTTGTATTTAATTAATGGCTCATAAAATTAAACATATTTTATAAAATTTCTAATCTGTTTTAATTACTTTTTGAAATACCTCTTAAGTATATTGCAAAATAAGATGCTTCACAATAAATTCCATATGCATGATATATTTGTCAGTTTATTCTGTTTTATGTGATAGCATTTCTAACTTATATAATAACAGCTTATTATCTTCATTTTACAAACAGCAAACACAAGCAAAAGGATTAAGCAATTTTCCAAAGGCAAAAAAGGGGGTCAATGTCAGCAGTCAGATTAGAGCTAAGGACGCTTTGATTCCCAAGACTGGCTTAAGATGATTAAAATGCCTCTTTCAGTCTGACTTCAATAATTAGTTAGAAGTTGGATCTTTCTATTGAAATCTTAAAACCTGGTGTTTTTGTTATTTTAAGAAGCACTAATAATAAGCTAAATATTCAGTAAAACAGATGGGAATTTTGAAACATAAGCTAATGGTGTGATCAGTCTAGATATTCTGTGTCTGCATTCTGCTTCTCTTTTATTTTTACTTATTTACTATATTAACAAATCATATATATCGCCAAGATATAGTCTGAGTGATATCACTTCACTACTCTTCACATTACCATTTTTTACTCACATTCATCATTCACATGTCAATTTACCACCACTTTTGTACTCATTTAACACCCAGAATGGGCTTTTAAAATATCATAAAAATTTGTAGCATTTTTGATCTTGTGTTACTCCACTATTTCCCATTGCAGTTGAAATACTTTCACTTCAGGGCATTTGCGCTCTAAATTAAAGCCTCTTTTAATTGGGCTTCTTTGGACTTAGCTGATGGTTCTACATTGATCCAGTGCTGCTCTGAAATGCCTCTATTTAGAGACCTTCCAGAATAATTCAATATCATTAACATGTTCATTTACTTTCATCACATGTTCCTGCTTTATTTTACTCATAATGTTTATCACTATTGAAAACAACTCATGTATATGTTTGCTTGCTAATTGCTCCCTCCACTCATACAGCAAAGCCAGAAATCAGGAATCACATCGATCTTTTCCACTCCCACATATCTCCATTGACTAGAAGAGTATCTGAGAGGCAGGAGATATCCAAATAAGTATTTTTCACTGAAGTAATAGATATGAGAAACATTAGGATGACATGTACGTTGTTCATACAGACCAGTCTCCTGTTGTGAGTACTAATCTCACTTTTATTTATAGTATGCCACCTTTTATCTTGTTTGTCTTTAAAAAAATTTAAGTGTTCCACTGGAGAAACTAAGGAGAAAAAACAAACATCAATGGAAAAAATAAATTGTCATATATACCCAAGCTTATTTTTGAAATGAAATCAGATTTGATAACCAGATTCATTTAATGAGAAAAATAATTTATCTTTTGCAACTCTACTGGGATGAACACATTTATATTCTCAACTACTTTTAACGTGACACATAAAAAAGAAAGGTTTTTTTTAAAGCGTAATAAAAGCTAGCCTTTATATATATGAGAAAGGACTGAATGATATAACTCCACCATTTCTTGTTAAGGAAATAGTCACAAAAGAATGGATTCACTCACGCTATAGGACACCCTTCTCTGTCTGTTGATGATTATTTGTGTAACAGGTAGATACTGAATGCAAACTGTAGTACAAGCAATTTCTTTTGTTGGAAAAGATAACTTTGAGTTTTTTCCACCCATGATATTATATAAGTTAACCTTGATTCTGGAATGTAGAACTATAGAAAATAGTTAACATATTCTACCTTTGAGCCAAGTATACAGTGGGATGAAGCATTATTTTTGTAATTGTAAAATAAACACAATATATTATAACCTTGATGCATCAAGGAAAATTGATTTTCTTTGAATAGAAAAATTTATTTTTATCATTTTATTAAAAAATATTTAATCAGAGATATTTGATCTTTCAAGAATACAAAGGAAATCAGTGACAGACATGGCAAAATAATTGCAAATATTAATAAATAACTGTGTTTTTTAAGGAATATTCTCGGAATTCCTTTTTCAAAATCTGAGCATCAAAAAAATAGGTATACCAAATTACAGAGACATATCTCAATTGTTTTAATCCTCACTGTGCATAATATGTGCTTAGTATCAGATAACTCTAATAGTAAACTTGTTTGTTGTAAGCTCCCTCTTCTAACAACAATTTTCCTTAAAGAAGGCACAACTCAAGGTTTTACACTTTAAGAATTTCCAGATGTGTTTCTTGAAAAGAAAATGGTACATGTCTTTGTCATCCTGTCTTTCTTCTGGGAGAAAGAAGTCCATGAAAATTTGCTATGAGTTAGCTCATATTTGAGCACGTTTTTATTTCATGCCCTTACCCTTAATGCAACAAGACCATTGGAGTTATATGCTGAGTGAATGTCCTGATGAGGCCTTAGACGTGGCTTTGGATTTCTCTACTTATAGCATAGGCAATAAAATCCAGTGGCCATTCATGTACACCTCTGTACAAATTAAGGGTAAGAATTGCTTCATAATTTCTAATCAGTACATCAATTAACATTTCCTGAATACTGACTATGTGTGTGAGAGGATAAAACAAGAATAACAACAATAAAAAGATAATATATGTCCTATGCACTCTTGTACTTTGCAGCAGAAGGAAAATGTTATCTAATGAGCTATGCTAATAAACTGGCAATAATTAGAATATTTGTATTCATGTGCTAGATTCAGAGAAACTCAAATAAGACATAAAATGTAGGACAGCTCACACAAAAGAGGTTAAAGTCTTTCTAAGTGAAGAAAAGTTGATGCAAAATGCTTATAGTTATGTAACAGCCTTGCATGATGGGGATCTAAACACAGCTGAGTGTCTATAATGCAACAATGGGAAAAGTTGAAGCTGAGAAAGTAAAAAGGAAACAAATTTTAAAGCCTGCAAGATAATTTGCCTCATGGTTTGTAATATTGAATACATTAGCATTAATAGATTTTAAACTATTGCATAATTTGCAAATGAATATGTAGACTTTTAAACAGTTATCTATCTATATCAATCAATTGATCTGTCGATTAGAATTTTCAATGTCATTTTTGCTAACTTGGGTAGGTTTTAAAGCCTCTGTTGTCCTCTCTGTTACCATCTATTCACAGGCATTAATTTTTTTCTTGACATGTCATATGATTTTTATTCTCAATAAGATTATAAAACCATTTAGAATGAAGTTCTTGCGCCATGCCTCGGATTCTATATGGAGCCCTTATACGTTTTTCTGACAAGTGAAATACTTTATAGTTCCTCAAATATTTGTGCTTTGTTTTAGGGGAAAGTAGTGCTGAAAACATTGGTTATTACCTAGATTAACCAAGTATTCATTATTCTGAGACATTTAGCTCATGCTTTTTATTAAATAAAATAATGTAATATGATGTAATATGGAAAAAGATTATGGTTTTCAATCATAAATTAAGTTCCCAAGTAATCACATTATTCTAAACAGAATATCAGTAAGAAATTGCTTGTTTGGATTAAAAAAATTGTCTAGACTATAAAATCATATTTCCATAAGGAAAAAATGGATTGCCAGCATTCTTTCATACTTAACAATGTAACTAACTGAGATGTGGTTTTTTCCCTTTTATATTTTAGATGTTTCTATTAAACTTAATGGTAAACAATTTAGTAATTTTGAAATATCAATGTATGTCACACAAAACCTAACATTTATTTTTTACCTCAACAAATGTAAAGTTAGTTTGATCTTTCTACACAGCTAATCTGAAAATGTTCTTAGTTCATCATTATGAAAGGACTGTTGAAAATCCACTGGGGAGTCTTGAAATAAAATAAGTTATTTTAGCGACTACATCATTCTTTCTAAATGTTTTGATCATTTCTTTAAACATATTTTTAAATTAAGTCATCTCTTTGAATATCAGTTTATATTTTCATTGTGCAGCATGTGAGTTCAGCATGAAGAATTATAGTTGCCAATGTGGGAAATTAAATTTCTCCACCCAGAAATTGCAGACAGAATTGATGTTATTTGTCCTTTCAGTCACAAAAATAACTGTTATTTTTTGGTTGAAATTAAATATAAAAGAAAGATTCATTGTATTTTATGTTTCCAAGGCATTACTCTAAGCACTTTACATATATTTTCTTATTAAATTTTCACAGAAAGACTGTAAGCTTGAAATATAGTATACATTACAGATGATTGAGTTTTACATGTTAAATGACTTGTCCAAGACTAAAATTTAAGCTCATTAGATTCTGATTCCAAAGCCTCCATTTTCACCCTGAGAGCCACATGTTGTTTCTTCATTAATAGTCACAAAAAGAAATAATTTATGAAAGTCTCAGCAAGAAAAAGGTAATACACTGGACATTTAGTAACTAGTTAGAACAGATGAGTATTTCTTCTTCAGAAAATAGATAAGAAAAACTCTCTCACATCCAACACTGAGGCTTGTCTAGAACAATGCTACTTCTAAAGAATTCAAGATCACAGGAAAAAATTGTCCTGTATAGAAAGCGTGATTTTAAGCATCAAATAACTAGAAAAGCTGGAATTCAAGACATGATACATGAAACAGTAGATAGAATGCTATAGTAAAAGCTGAGTAACAACCAAAATAACAACAACAAAATGTTGCTTGAAGAAAGTCAAGGAAATATATTTGGATGAAATTGATGACAGGAGAGAAAGTGGCTTACAGGATATGGGATGCAACAGTGAGACACATCCAAACTGACCAGAAACAATGTGTGAAGAGACTCCGATGCCTTGCAAGGAACCTTTTACTTGTTTCAGTATAAATTGAACAATGAGAACACTTGGACACAGTGTGAGGAACATCACACACAGGGGCCTGTCGTGGGGTGGGGGAAGCGGGACGGATAGCATTAGGAGAAATACCTAGTGTAAATGATGAGTTAATGGGTGCAGCACATCAACATGGCACATGTATACATATGTAACAAACCTGCATGTTGTGCACATGTACCCTAGAACTTAAAGTATAATTTAAAAAAGACACCATACAACTTCTTCATTTTTTTTTACAGTTCAGTTACTTTAAAATTTAAAATTACTCTTTTTATCATGAATTATAACACATATGGGTACATTTTATGAATCATAAAGATATAGCTCAATGAATTGTCAGTCCCATGTAACTATTTCCCTGGTCAACGGTTAGAATAATACTGACAATCCAGGAAATTCACCATTAATCCTCTTCAATTCTCAAAGTTAACCATAATCCTTACTTTGAAAGCTAAAATCTAGTTTTATTCTTTTTTAATATTTTATATCAATAACAGCCCAATATGTAGCATGTTACAACTGGCTTCTTTTCTCAATATTGTGTCTGTGAAATGCGTCTATGTTGCTGAGGGCGGTTCAAGATGGTTTATTTTCATTTCTATAGTATTCCATTGCATGGAGATGTTACATATTTCTAAAAGTATTGATGTACATATAAATTGTTTTCAACATTTGAGCTATTATCGATAGCACTGACATACACATACAGGTCGAACATCCCTAATCTGAAAATCTACAATCTGAGATGGTATAAAATCCAAAACTTTTTGAGCACCGACGTGACACCCCAAGTGGAAAATTCCACACCTGACCTTATGTGGCAGGTCTCAGTAGAAACTTCAGCACACGACACACAGTTTCTTCAGTGTCCCCAAGAAAAAAAACACTGTCCCAGTCCCCTGCAACTGCAATATATCTTTTCCACACACGGCATGATGGCAATGTCAAGTAATCACAGGCTGTCTACAAGAGTGACTGAGCTAGTGACACACCTTTGCTTTCTGATGCATCAGTTCAATGTACACTAACTTTATTTTATGCACAAAATTATTATTTTTATTTATTTATTTATTTTCAGAGACAAATTCTTGCTCTGTTCCCCAGACTGGATCATAGCTCACTATAGCCTTGAACTCCTGGGCTCAAAGTATTCCTCAGCCTCAGCCTCCTGAGTAGTGGGGACCACAGGTGCCCACCAGGCCTGGAAAATTTTTAAATTTATTGTAAATACAAGGTCTCACTATGTTGACCAGACTGGTCTTGAACTCCTGGCCTCAAGTGTTCATCTCACCTCAATCTCCAATTTAATGGGATTATTTTAAATATTGTATAAAGTTACTTAAAATATTGTATAAAGTTACCTCAAGCTATTGCATGAGATATATAGAAAATGTCAATGGATTTCTTCTTTAGACTTGTGTCAAATCCCCATGATATCTCACTATGTAGATACAAATATTCCAAAAGAAATCTGAAATTCCAAACTCTTCTTTTCCCAAGCATTTTGAATAAGGGATACTCAAGCTCTACTTGAACTTGTCTCTTGGTCTACATAAGCATGCATATCTGAAGGTTATATTACCATTAATTAAAATATTGGGTCAGATTTATACTCATAATTGAATGTTACATATAATGTATTCAACATATATATAACATATATATAACATATATAACATTATATATGTTATATATAATGTTATAACATATGTAACATTCAACATATATAACATTCATATATAACATATATAAATACATAAAACATTTTATATATATAACACCATATATATAACATGTTATATATATGTTATATATGGTGTTATATATGGTTATATATAACATGTTATATATGGTTTTATTTATTTATATTTATATATGACACGTTATATATATGTTCTATATACGGTTTATATGTTATATATAACATGTTACATGTATGTTTTATATATAATATATATGTTTTATATATTTATATATGTCATATATAAATGTTATATATGTTGAATATGTTACATATGTTATAACATATATGTTATAACATATGTTATATATGGTTTTATATATGTAACAATTTATATAACAATTTATATAAGCATTGTGTATATATTAGAAAAAATTTTTAGTGATGCTGTATTCTTTTCAGCAAAAAAATTCAGATTCACCGAAAGCAAATTTGTCACTATGATGGCAAAATTTTAAATGACTTCATTATTGTATATTTTACACATCATAAAATATCGAAGTGTGTATTGCTGTACTATTAACTACAGGTACTGTATTATACAGTATATCTCTGGAAATATTTATCTAGCTTGACCGTAACTTCATACCTATGGAACAATTCCCATATCCCCTACCTCCCAGTCCTTGGCAACCATAACTGAATTCTCTATTTCAATGAGTTTAACTATTTCAGACCTTGCATAGAACTGGAATCTTGCAGTGCTTGTTCTCCTGGGACTGAATTATTTCACTGAGCAAAATGTTCAGGTTCATCCATGTTGTTGTAAATGACAAAATTCCCTTCTTTTTCAAGACTGAATAATATTCCACTTGATTTTTATTCCACATTTTCTTTATTCATTCGTTGATTGACATTTGGATTGTTCCCATATTCTGGCTAGTGTGAATAATGCCAAAATGAACACAGGACAGTAGATATCTCTTTGAGATTCTGATTTCAATTTGATTATTGGATCATATGGTAATTCTATTTTTAGTTGTTATAAACCTTCATACTATTTTCCACGGCTGCTGCACTATTTTATATTTCTACCAGCAACATACAAGAGTTCTAACTTCTTCAAATCCTTGCTAACACTTGTTACCTTTTGATTTTTTTTTTGATAGTAGCCATTTTAACAGATGAGAAGTGATATCACATTATGGTCTTGATTTGAATTTTCCTGTTTATTAATGATATTAAACATCTTTTCATATACCTGTTGGCCATTTGTGTGTCTTCTATAAACAAATATTGGCTAAAGTCATTTGCCCATTTTAAAGGGGTTATTATTATTACTTTGCTGTTGAGTTGTTGGAGTTCCCTAAATATTTCAGAAATTAACCTTTTGCCAGATATAAAATTTGTAAATATTTTCTCATAATCCATAGGTTACCTTTTCATTCTGTTGATTGTTTTCTTTGCTGTGTAGAGGCTTTTAAGTTTTATATAGTCCTACTCGTGTATTTTTGTTTTGTTTCCTGTGGTTTTGGCATAATATCCAAGAAATCATCACGAAACATATTAAGAAGCTTTCCTATGTTTTCTTCTAGAATTTTTACAGTTTTAAGTCTTAAATTTAAGTTTTAATCCATGTTAATTTGTTTTGTCTGTGTATGGTGTAAGAAAGGGTCTAATGTCGTGGTTTTTGCATATGAATATCCAGTTTTCCCAGCACCATTGGCTGAAGAAATGTTTTTTTTTCCATTTTATATTCTTGGCATCCTTGTCAAGTATGAGTTTATTGTAAACAATTGTGTTTATTTTGAGCTTTTTATTTTGTTTCATTTGTCTAGATGTCTGTATTTATGCCAGTGCCACATAGTTTTAATTGCTGTAAATTTGTGATATATTTTGAAATCATAAATCGTGATGCCTCCAGCTTTGTTGTCCTTTCTCAGTATCACTTTACCTTGAAGTTGGGCAGTATGATGCCTCCTGCTGTGTTCTTTATGCTGAGAGTTGCTTTGGCTCTTCAGACTCTTTTGGTTCCACGCGAATTTTAGAATATTTTTAAAAATTATACTTAAAAACGGCATTGATAGTTTCATAGGCATAGTGTTTAATCTGTAAATCTCTGTGGGCAGTATGGTCATTTTAACAATATTGATTATTCAAATACATGAGCATAGAATGTTTTTCCATTTATTTGTGTCACCTCTGATTTTTTTCAACAGCATTTTTTCTTAGATATTTTATTTTGTGTGGTTATTATAAATAAGATTATATTCCTGATTTAACTCTCAGTTTGAATGTTACTACTATATAGAAATGTGACTTTCAGTTCTAGGAGCCTTTTGGCAGAGTATTTAGAGTTTTATAGGCTATAGTAATCAAAACAGCATGGTACTGGTACAAAAGCAGACACATAGATCAAGGAAACAAGATAGAGAACCCAGAAATAAAGCTGCACACCTACAAAAAGCTTATTTTTCACAAAGTCACCAAAATAAGCAATGGGGAAAGGAATCCCTATTGAATAGATGGTGCTGGGATAGATGGCTAGCAATATGCAGAAGAATAAAACTGGACCCTTACCATTCACCATACATAAAAGTTAACCCGAGATGGATTAAAGATTTAAATGTAAGACCTCAAACTATTAAAAATTCTAGAAGAAAAGCTAGAAAATACCCTTTTTTACATTGACCTTGGCAAATAATTTTTGGCTAAGTCCTCAAAAGCAATTACAACCAAAGCAAACACTGACAAGTGTAACCAAATGAAACAAAAGAGCTTCTGTGCTGCCAAAAAGCTATCAACGGAGTGAACAGACAGCCTAAATAATGGGAGAAATATTTACAAACTGTACACCCGACAAAGGCCTGATATCTAGGCTCTATAAAGAACTTAAACAGATCTTCAAGCAAAAAACAACCTCATTAAAGAATGGGCAAAAGACATTTCTCAAAAGAATTTATACAAGCAGCTAATAAATATTTGAAAAATATTCATCATTACTAATTACCAGAGAAAAGCAAATCAAAACCACCATTAGATACCATCTTACACCAGTCAGAATGGCTATGATTAAAAAGTCAAAAAACAACAGATGCTGGCGAGACTGTGGAGAAAAGGGAATGCTTACACACGGTTGGTAAGAATGTAAATTAATGGCTCACGCTTGTAATCCCAGCACTTTGGGAGGTCGAGGTGGGCAGATCACGAGGTCACGAGATCAAGACCATCCTGGCTAACACGGTGAAACCCCGTCTCTACTAAAAATACAAAAAATTAGCCTGGTGTGGTGGCGGGCGCCTGTAGTCCCAGCTACTTGGGAGGCTGAGGCAGGAGAATGGCGTGAACCTGGGAGACGGAGCTTGCAGTGAGCTGAAATTGCGCCACTGCACTGCAGCCTGTGCAACAGAGCAAGACTCCGTCTCAAAAAAAAAAAAAGGAATGTAAATTAGTTCAGCACTGTGGAAAGTACTTTGAAGATTTCTCAAAGAACTTAAAAGAGAGCTACAATTCAACCCAACAAACCAATAAATGGGCATATACCAGGAGGAAAATAAATTATTCTGCCAAAAAACACATGCATGTGTACGTTCGTTGCAGTGCTATTCACGATAGCAAAAATGTGGAATCAATCTGGGTCCTTATAAATGGTGGATTGATTAAAGAAAATGTGGTACATGTAAACCGTGGAACATGTATACTATGCAGCCATTAAAAACAGTAAAGTCATGTCCTTTGCAGCAACGTAGATGCGGCTGGAGGACATTATCCTAAGCAAATTATCACAAGAACAGAATATCAAATACTACATATTCTCACTTATAAGTGGGAAGTAGACATTGTGATATGGCTTCAATATTTGTCTTCACCCAAATCTCATGTTTAATTGTAATCTCCAATGCTGGAGCTGGGTTCTGGTGGGAGGTGTTTGAAACACAGAAGCAAATCCTTGTGGGTTGGTGCTGTCTTCATGACAGCGAGTTCTGGTGAGATCTGGTCATTTTAAAATGTGTGTTACCATGCGCTCCCACTCTTTCTCACTTGCTCCTGCTCTGGCCATGTGACATGCCTGCTCCCCCTTTTCCTTCTGCCATGATTGTAAGCTTCCTGAGGCCTCCCCAGAAGCTGAATAGATGTCAGCATCATTCTTCCAGTAAAGCCTGCAAAATTAAACTTGTTTTTCTTTATAAATTACCCAGTGTCAATTATTTATTTATAGCAATGTAAGAGTGGCCTAACATACATTAAGTACACATGGACATAAAGATGAAAATAATAGACACTAGGAACTAGTAAAGGGAGAACAGATGGAGGGCTCACGCATTGAAAAATCTCTTGTTGGGTACTATACTGACTACCTGCGTGAGAGGATTCATACCCTGAACCTCAGTATCATGCAGTATACCCATGTAACAAACCTGTACATGTAGCCTCCTAATGTAGAATGAAAGTTGAAATTATTTTTTAAAAAATCACTTTAGCTATTTAGGGTTTTTCTGGTGTCATATTAATTTATTTTATTATTTTCTGTAAAAAAAATACCATTAGGATTTTGATAAGAACAGCATTGACTCTGTAGATCCCTTTTGATAATGTGAACATTTTAACAATATTAAATCTTTCAGTTTATGAACACAATATGACTTTCCACTTATTGTTTTTTTAATTAATGTTTTGTAGTTTTCAGGGTACAACTCTGTCACCATATTGCTTAAGTTTTTTTCTAACTATTTTATTGTTTTCTAAGGTATTATAAATAGAGTTGTTCCTTCATTTTCAGATGAATTGTTTTTATATAATAACAATTGATTTTTATATTGATTTTGTATACACAATTTAATGATTTTTATTTGTTCTAACAGTTATTTAGATAGTCTTTATAATTTTCTAAATATGGAATCATATCATCTGTATACAGAAGTAATTTTACTTTCTTCTGTCCAATTTTGATTCTTTTTACTTCTTTTACTTACCTAAGTGCTTTGGCAAGAACATAGTACTATGTTAATAGAAGGCACGTGAGTAAGAAGGGTCATAAGAGACTAGTATGAACATTTACACACCAACAAATTAGATCACCTAGAAAAAATGAATAAACTCCTAGGTACACACAACCTAACAAGGCTAAATTATGGAGAAATGGAAAATATGGACAGACCAATAATTAATTTAAAAATTGCATAAATAATTAAAAACCTCTTCAAAATGAAAAGCCCAGGACCAAATGGCTTTGTTAGTGAATTTACCAAACAATTAAACAAGAATTGGTGCCAATCTTCCTCAACTATTAAAAAAAATTGAAGATGAGGGAACACTTTCAAACTCAATTTATGAGGTCAGTATTATCCTTATAACAAAGCCAGACCACACCACAAATAAAGAAAATTGGAGACCAATATCCTTGATGTACGTAGATGCAAAAATCGTCAACAAAATACTAGCAAACCAAATTTAGCAGCACAAACAAAGGATCATACACTATAATCAGAAGGGATTTATCCCTGGGATGTAAATGTGTTCTAATATATGCAAATTAATAAATGTAATATACTTCATTAATAGAATGAATCATAAAATTCATTCTATTAATGAGTATCACAGAATTATCTCAATAAAATCAGAAAGGAATTTGACAAAATTCAACATTCTTTCATCTTAAAAATGCTCAGCAAACAAAGTATATAAGAAATGTACCTCAAAATAATAAAGACCATATATGATAAGCCCAGAGCTAATATCATATTAAAAAATGAAAAAGTAAAAGCTTTTCATTTCCTAAGATTAGGCATAAGACAAGGATGCTCACTCTTGACATTTTAAATTATTTATTGTATATGGTATGAGGTAAGGATCAAGGTCCAATTTGCCATATGAACAGTCAGTTATTACAGCTTCATACACTGAAAAGACAATGTATTTCTCCATCATATTACTTAAACACCATGATTGAAATGTGTCTATTTTTGAATTCTTAATTATGCTCCATTGATCCATATACATATTCTTACATATATATCATAAGGCCTTAATTACTGTAGTTTTATAGCAAATCTTAAAATCAGTTAGTGTACATCCTCCAGCTTCGTTCTTGTTTAGATGTAAACGTTTTACTCACTTTTCTGTAGCTCCTAGTGTCATACAAAGCTTAGAATAGATTTGGAAATTTCTGCTAGAAAAAAAATGGTAGAAATTTTAGGGACAGAGGGGAATTGTGCAGAATTTATACACTGATTTCAGAATAATTAGCATCTCAACAATATTGAACCTCCCAATAGCTAAACATGGTACATGATTTATTTAATTTTATCTTCATTAATTTCTCTCAGCAATGCTTTCTAGTTTTCAGTAGAAATATATTAGCATCTTGTATATATTTTGCTGTTTTTCCTAAGTATTTTATGGTTTCTGATTGATACAAATTTAATTTTGAGATCATATTGTTCTTTATTACTTTTGTTTTCTTGAGACAAGGTCTCACACTGTTACCTAGGTGGGAGTGCAGTGGTGTGATCGCAGCTCACTGCAGCCTCAAGTGCCTGGGCTCAGGTCATCCTCCCACCCTAGCCACCCAAGTAGCTGGGACTACAGGTGTGCACCACCACACCAAGCTAATTTTTTAAATTATATGTGGAGATGGGGTCTTCTTATGTTGCCCAGGCTGGTCTCAAATTCCTGGGTTCAAGCAGTCCTCCCACCTTTGCCTTCCAAAATGCTGGGATTACAGGTGTGAGCCACCATGCCAGGTCAGATTATATTATATTTTTCTGTAGCATACAAAATATAATTTATTTGTGCATATTCATCTTGATTTCTGTATCCGTTGATATTAACCTAATATAGTTTTTATTTCTACAAGGATGTTTTCGTTGATTCTTAACGTTTTTGATGTAAGCAATATGTCATCTGAAAACAAATATTTGTAATATTTTATAAATTAAATGATTTTTTTAAAAAATAGAAAATATTTTTAGAACTCTTTTCAGTCTACACCAATACTGAGCAGAAAGTACAGGGAGTTCCCTCACATCCCCTGCACTCACACAGGCACAGCCTCCTGAACTACATCCCACATAAAAATCGTACATTTGTTATAATATATGACCCCCTATTGACACATCATAAATGTTCAAAGTACATAGTTTACCTTAAGATTCAATAACGTAAGAGTAAACCCTATGGAGTTTTTCTCTCCATATAAATTGTTGGTGTTCTATAATTAATGGGTTTTCATAAATGTGTAATGACATGTATCCACTATTATAATATAATACAGAATAGTTTCACTGCCCTAAAAATCCTCTACTCTATACCTAATCATTCCTCCTCCAATCTGTTATTCCCTGAAAACACTGATTTTTTAACTGTCTCTATAGTTTTACTTTTTCCAAAATGTTATATAGTTAGAATCATATAGCATATACTTTTCAGATTGGCTTATATTGCTTAATAATATGCATCTTTGTTTCATAGCTCTTTATTACACTCACAGATCTTTTTAAATTTAATTTTAATCTGTGTATAAAATTCATGATGTCACAAAAAGTATTATAAAGTTAGTTATGGTAAAGCTAAATTTGAAAATGTGTTGACTTTAAATAAATGAATAAAGAAAAAGGTGTTGCAAATAATAGCTTTCTTGTGCCAAAAAATCCTTTGAAAGAGATACACTAGTATCTGAAGTTTCATATTTATTTCCGACCTTTGTTATTTTTCCCCCGAAGTGTTCATTACTATTATATAGAAATACAATTGTTTTCTGTATACAGATTGTGTATCCTACAACTTTGCTGAATTTGATTATTAATTCTAATAGTGTTTTAGTGGAATCCTTTGTCCATTTTTTTCCTTACCTACTCTATATATTCACGTAGGCAGCCTTATTCAGACTTACAGTTTTTAAACACTTAAATGTGGATGTGATTTCTCCTAAATCTGTATCACAGCAGTCACTCCTGGGCCACAGAATGGTTTATACACCTACCTACAGAACATCTTTTCTTAGATAACTGGCAAGTACTCATTATATACCAAATGTATTTATCATTTTTTCCCCAAACTTGATTATTCTCTTGTATTCCTATATCTTGATGTATGGTCTTTTCACCAGGCCAAAACCTGAGATTTATTTAGATAACTTTCTTAAGTCATTCTTATAATCTTCAAATTTTGTTGATTACTCATTTATCTCTATATAACAATCCATTGTCTAGATGTACTACAATTATTTAGCCATTTACCTACTGAAACACTTCTTGGTTGCTTCCAAGTTTTGGTAATTATGAATAAAGGTGCTAAAAGTATTCATGTGCACGTTTTTTGTGTGGCTGTTTTCAACCCATTTGGATAACTATCAAAGAGTGATTGCTGGATCAGATGGTAAAACTATACTTTTGTAAGAAAATGTCTCACTGTTTCTCAAAGTCATTGTGTCATTTTGCAAATCCAGTAGCAATAAATAAGAGTTTCTGTTGCTCCCCATCCTCACCATCATTTGGTGGTATCAGTGTTTTGGGTTTTTACAATTCTAATAGTATGTAGTGGTATCTCATTATTGTTTTCACTTGCTATTCATTAATGACACATGCTGTTGAAAATTTTTATATGTTTATCCACTATCTATATGTACTTTTTAGTGAGGTGTTTATTCAGATCTTTTGCCCACTTTTAAAAATCAATTTGTTTTCTTACTATTGAATTTCAAGAATTTTTTGAATAACTGTCCTTCATGAGAAATATCTTATGCAAATATTTTCTCCCATTATATGGCTGTCTTCTTCTTTTGACAGTGTCTTTTGGGGAGCAAAATGTTGGGGGTTTTTTGTAATTTTAATGAAGTCTAGTTTAATAATTATTCATCTCATGGATCCATTCTTTGGTGTTTTAACAAAATGTCATTGCCAAACTAAATTTTATCCTAGGTTATTTTCTAGAGGTTTTATAGTTTTTTGTTTTGCATTCCGATATATGATCCATTGTGGGGCAATTTTTGTGAAAGATTTAAATTCGATGTCTAGATTGATTATTTTTTCTTGTGATTTATGTTATTAAGCACCAATTGTTGAAGACTGTTTTGTTCTCATTATATTGTGTTTGCTCGTTTGTGAAACATCAGTTGACAGTATTTCTGTGGGTCCATTAGTGGGCTCTCTGTTCTGTTCCATTTGGTCTATTTCTCTATTCTTTCATCAGTATCACAGTGTCTTGATTAACATACCTTGTTAGTAAATCTTGAAGTTGGGTAGAGTCAGCCTTCCAAATGTGTTCTTCTCTTTTAAGGCTGTATTGGTTATTCTGGTTATTTGTCTCTTTATATAAACTTTAGAATTATTTGTCATGTTCACAAAATAACTCTCTGGAATTTTTATTGAAATTGCATTGATTTATAGATAAAGTTGGAAACAACCAACATCCTGAAAATAGCGAGTCTTTCTTCTCATGAATATGGAATATTTCTCAATTTATTTAGTTTCATAATTTCTTTTGTCAGAGCTTTGTAGTTTTCCTCGATTAAAACCTTGATATATTTTGTTAGATTTATACCTAAATATTTCATTCTTGGAGTGCTAATAAAAATGGCATTGTGCTTTTAATTTTAGATTTATCTTCTTCATTACTGGAATATAAGAAATAAATTGACTTTTGCATATGGAAATTGTATCCAGCAACATTGCTGTAATAATGTAGTTCCAGGAGTTCTGTTGTTGTTGATTCATTTGGATTTTCTACATAGACAATCATGTTATCTATGAACAAAAACAGTTTCATTTCTTCCTTCCCAATCTGTATACCTTTTTTTTCCTTTTCTTGTCTGATTAGATTAGCTAGGACTTCCAATACAATGTTGAAAAGTAGTGGTAAGAATGAAAACCCTGGCATTGCTACCGATCTTATCAGTATAGTTTCTGAAGTTTCTTACCATGAAGTATGATGTTAGCTGTTGGATTTTTTTGTAGATAATCTTTGTCAACTTCAGGAAGTTCTATTTCTACTTTACTAAGAGATTCTGACATGAATAAGCATTGGATTTTGTCAATTGCTTTTCTGTATCTATTGATATAATTATGTGGTTTTCATCTTTGTCCCGTTAATGTGATAAATTACATTCACTGATTTTCAAATGTTGAACCAGCATTGCATACCTGGATTAAATTCCATTTGTTTGTGAAGTTCAGTTCTTTTAATTCATTGTTGCATTCCGTTAGCTAATATCTTATTGAGAATTAAATCTATGTTTATAAGAGTTATTGGTTTGCAGTTTTACAGCCGTTTGATTGTTGGTTTCTGTATTAAGATAATGCTAGCTTCATAGAATGAGTTAGGAAGTTTTCATTCTGTTTTTTTCTCCTGGAAAAGATTGTATATAATTGGTAACATTTTTTCTTAAATGTTTGGAAGAATACACCAGTGAATTCATATGGGCTAGGTACTTTCTTTTCTGGAAGGTTTTTAATTATTGATTCAATTTATTTAATAAATATAGGTCTATTCATATTATCTATTTCTTCTTGTATGAGTTTTGGCAGATTGTGCCTCTCCAGGGATTGGTTTATTTCATCTAGATTTTCAAATTTGTGGTCCTAGATCTGTTCACAGTATTCCTTTATTATCTTTTTAATCTTTGATTTTCTGCAGTTTGTACGATATGCTCAGGTGTGGGTTTTTTTGTTTTGTTTTGTTTGTTTGTTTGCATTTGCCCGGCCTGGTGGATTTGAGCTTCCTGGATTTGTGATTTGATGTCTGACATTACTTTGGAGAGATTCCCAGTTATTACTGTTTCAAATATTTCTTCCTTTGTTTCTCTCTTTTTTTCTATTTCTTGCATTCCCATTACATGTATGTTACACCTTTTATCATTGTCCCAAAGTTCTCAAATAATATTTTTAGTCTTTTCTATATTTGCTTTTGAGTTCTGAAAATCTGTATTGACATATCCTCAAGCTCAGGGCTTCATTTCTCCTCCATGTCCAGTTTACTACTGAGTATATGATAGGCATTCTTTATTTCTGTTACAGTGTATTTTATCTCTAGCATTTATTTTTGTTTCTTTCTGGGGAATTTCTGTCACTGTTAGAGCCTTTAGCATATTACTCATAGTTATTTTAGATTTTTGGTATGATAATTCCAATATTCTAGTTAATATGTGACTCTGGTTATGACGCTTGCTCTGTCCCTTCAAACTGTGTTTTCTTAAGCAGCCTTTAGTAATGTGATGGTAATGTGTGGGGGCAAGGAGGAAGCATTCTACAGTCTTATAATTAGGTTTCAGTCATTTAGTGATACTGGGACCCTGAGCTGAACTTCATGAGTGCTTTTCAGTACTGCCCCCACCTTAGGTAACAAAGACAATTAGAGAAGGTAGAAGTTTGGTATTTTTCTTTTTCCACATGGAAGGCTAGGAGTAGCCGGGGTTATGCATTTATCTTCCCCCACAGAGAGGGCTAAAGCAGGCCAGAGTTGGATAATTCCCTTCCCCAACATTAGTGAAACTCTGATAAATTTCAACATGTTAGGTTCTGGTAAAGTAGTTTCTCATGAGGGCAAGCCTTGTTGAGAAGAACAAAATGCTTTGTCATGTTTGTAAATGGCTACTCCTCCCCTCCCATTGCCAGAATCAAGAGGGAATTTTCCTCAGATTTTTACTGTGAGAACATAGTAGAACTCCTGGAAGTAAAACTGTGAAAAGTGTGAGTGTGTTCCCCTAAGGCTGAGCACCCTGAATTTCCCAACTCTCAGACTTGTCCACATTAAGCCTGCAACAAATTGTCAATTACAGATCAGGTTTTCTACCCTGGAACTTGTTTCTGTGATGGCTTCTTCTTGGGGCAACAGTTTGCCTTGTGACATCAGTTTTATGACAGATCTAAAAAGAGTTGTTTACTTTCGGTTTGTTGAGCTTTTACTTATTAGGATGGAATTACAATGTCCAGGACGCTTAAATGTCAAACCAGAACTCAATGATATTTTATTATTCATTTTTCTCATTGTCTATGAAATTCTATAACTTACCTGTTTAGAAAATGACTTATAGAAACAAGTCAACTCATATATTCATATATTTTCTTCAAAGCCTTCTCTAACTTTGATTGACCTTTCTCATGACCTTGCTAACATAGTATAAAACATACAGAAAAGTACTCTGTCTTGTTAAAATTTATTGATTCAGGAGAATGATTTAAATGGCATCTTTTGCACCAAACAAATCCTTAGGCGGAAAAAGGTGACAGGTGATTGCCTTGCTTAAAATTTTCTATTGCAATAAATACAGCTCACTATATATTTAAAGTTATTTATAGATTCCACTAGTTTATATATTTACATTGCAAATAATGTGCTGTAACTCTGTTATTTTATATTATAGCACCACCTTTTTTATGAAAGCATTTTAATATAGATACTATTAATTAGTGTACCAACACACAGCTTGGTCAATGGATCAGTGTTTGCAAAACACACATTTTCATACACTGATGACTTCAATTATTAAAGCAGAGAGTCATCAGCAAACAAACAAGATTGGTCATGTAACTACAGACTCAAATACCCTAATATGCAACTGGATTATGAAAACAAGCAGCTGTACCAACAAGATAGGCAATCAAATTGACGAAGTATGTCTTTGAATTAATGAAGTATTTGCCACTTGACAAATAAAAGTAAGTGCTGAAATGGTGAAATGAACCGATTTGGATTATCACATTTATTCAGAGTAGACCCAACTTAAATGAGATCATTGTGCATACACATCAGGCAAATACGGTTTTCTAGGTAACAGAGAATTAAATGGATCTAGAATAAAAAGCAAATCATTTTTAAATATAAAATAAACTTATCAAATAAAATTTCATATTTAGAAATAATCCAAGGGCTAGACAACAAATAACGCTATTTCAAACTTTCTGACAGACTATAATAAATCTATATAATTATCAGTAAAGATACAATATAGTTCATTGCATCTTTTTTATTAAGTCCAGGAGTTCAACACACTATAGAAAATTAGCAGCATCTAAAATTAATTATAAAATATCTTGTGATTTTATTTATTACAAAACCTGACCGGTTATAAAATATACACAAAAGGAGTTTAATACAACAATCATGAAAGAAGTACAGCAGACTTCAAATAAAGTATTTATTCTCAGTAGCTACTCACCAGTTTAATATAGAATACAAAGCAACATAAGCAAATGAAATTATATTTATTTAGTATTACATCTAGTACTGTTCAAATGTATGCAATGAGTGTGTGTTTGTGTGTGCTGTTTACTAGTCAACTAAGAACCTATTATTGTGTTCCATTCAGTTAATATACAATAATTACCTATGATTATTATCTTTCACCGAGTTAAAGATAAAAATCTTACTATGTTAAGTAATTTTTAGCTTACAGAATTATGATGGAAAGTGAAATAAAAAGTAAAGACAAATACCTTGTTTCTATGTTTTCCTTTAGCTAATTAGTTCCAGAGACCCCGACATCTCTTACCTTTTCTATGCATGCCTTTCAAATACTTTTTCTGGCCTTTGAGTTTTCCTTCTTTCCAGTAAATATTCTATTGTGCAAATATTTCACAGTTACCACAATCTAAAACACAAGATTATGTGATTTTACTAAACCTTTTTTAAAATATTTACCTACTGTGAAATGATTCATTTTTCATTCTTCTCATACTATACTCTTTGGAAGAAAGTTATACATAACCCAAATTTGAAGAGTATGGAGTTATCACTCCACCTCTTTGAAAAAAAAAAATCTACTTGAAAAAATTAGAATTCTTCAGCACAGGAGATTTTTCCATTTTCTCTGTTTTACTTAGTTTTTAGTGATTTATTTATATCAGTATGACATTATGAATACTGTTTTATATTAACGGTTAAAATACAATACTACATTAGTTTGTGGTTTTTATTGTTTCAGGTTTGGCCATGAGTAGATCTTTCCATTGGTAAATGTCTCCCTATAACATACTCATATTTGGGGGATTTTTTTTTTTTTGTCCTTTGTTTGTTTGATTGGTTTTGCTCTATTTTGTTTGAGCACATCTTCATATTCTATTACTACAAGGTTATACAGTCTAACCTTGTATATTTCCATTTCCAGTCCTATAATCACACATTTCTCCAAGGTGCACTAATTTTTTATTGGATGATAATATCATAATAAAGATATGGGTGCTAGATGTGTTCATTGCTTCTGGGTGCCTTTCGTTTTAGGCCGTCTCAGTTGACAGAGCAAGGAAATATGTGTATATACAAAGAATTTTACATACCTTATATATGACAATTTATATGAGCATACATCTACATCTATATTAAGATAACATGAAGTCATTCTGATGTCTCCTGTTCTAAAATTTTACCACTTGGATACATTTTGCCTTCCTCAGTTGCTTGTTTTTAATTTCTCAGTCCAGTAGTAAGAAACACTGATTTAACCATCAAATATCTATTTACTATAAGTTTGAATTTCAGTAAACGTGTTTAGTGGTTTCTGAATTGTTAGCCTGTAACCCCATAGGGAATGATTTTTATCAACTAAAGTGCAATTCTTGTGCAGTTACATTTCCACTCAAAAACAAAGTGACTCAGTGCAGCACCTTCAGCTCCCACCTCCTTGTGTGAGGTTGTATCATACATTTGTAATACTGTTAGATTTTATTGGCACATTCTGAAGTCCATCCAGAGATACTGATACTCTTCAGTATTTCTTTAATTTGTATACATTGTTTCATTTTTGTGTTTTATAGGTTTACGGGTTTTAACAAATGCATGGTGTAATGTATCTAGTCATATAACTATGATTCCAGTATAATAGTATCATATAGGATAGCTTTATCATTCTAAAAATATTTTCTTAGCTGTGTCTATTACACACAGAGACACAAACATACTAAAACACCCTATTCCTTAAAGAATATGAATCTTATGATCTCATCCTAATACAGTGTTCAACCAACAAAAATAAAATTTTCAATTTTCCTTCTCTATTCTGGAAAATGTATACTTTTTTTCCTGTTTCCTTCCTACCTCTCTATTTATGCATAAAATATATTAAATTAAAGAAGATAAAACTCAATAAGATATATTTCAGGAAAATTTAATTTGGCAATCGTAACAGCAAAGCGTTAATAAAAGTTGCATATTAATTTCATTTTATTTTGTTTTTTGTTGCTGTTGTTTTATGTTAAGCCATTTAAATGTCCATTTAATTTATAATGGTTTATAACTGTTGGCATTAGGAACAGATTGAACACTATTCTACGTGCAGGATACTTCTCTCTAAATCAGCTGTGTTTTCAGGTTCATTAATCTTTCCCTCCAAAATACCTGATTTTATCACACCGGGTATATTTTGATCTCATTGATTTTGCTTCTCATCTCAAAGTTTGATTTGGGTCCTTCTTTTATGCTTTACATTTGTCTGCTTAACAAATGAACAGAATACATTTGTAAGAAAAATTTTTAAATATTGTTGCATAAGATTTCTGTCATATTTTAATCAGTTTTGAGTAATTTATGTTTTTCAGCCTTGGGTTGTATATTCCTGGTTCTTTGAGAGTCTGATATTTTGTAATTAGCAGCAACATAATGTGAATTTTACATTTTTGAGTGCTGACTGTTTGTATTCAATATTTCTGAGCTTTGTTCTCGTGTGATATGATATTTTATATCTTGATATTGATATTTGCCAGGAGAAACAAGACCTGGATTTGGTATAGTGTTAATTATTTTGTTACCAGCTACGGAAGGAAAACACCTCTTAGGACTCTATCCAGTTATTCATGAATTATGAGCCTTTCCAGTTTGGCCAGTGTTAACATAAGCTATTCCTTATACTTTTTGTGTGCCAGACACTATTATTCTAATCTTTTTTAGTGCTTTCCTAATCTTTGATAGTTTTCTCTCACATGTGTGCCATTCAGCATTCTGCTGAACACTTGGGGATAATCCTCTGAGAAATCTCTTGACTTCCTCATGTTTGCCTTTCTGTCCTGTGATTTCTAGTGCATTAGGTCAGGCTGCTATAAAAGAATACCATAGACTGCGTAGCTTAAACAACAAAAATTTACTTCCTATAGTTTTGGAGGCTGGCAAGTCCAAGGTCAAGACACCAGCAGATCCAGTGTCTGGTAAGGGCTCTCTTTCTGGTTTGCAGATGACCATCTTCTCTGTGTCTTTATTTTGCCGTCAGAAAAGAGAGGAAGCAAGCTCTCCTCTCTCTGTTTATAATGGCACTACTCCCATCTAAGAGCTCCACCATCAAGACCTAATCACTCTCCAAAGGCTCATCTCCAAATACCATCACATTAGGGATTTAGGGTTCCACTTAGAAATTTTGGGTAGACACAAACATTCAGCCCATTGGCATCTAGCTGATGTTTTCCTGGACTCTCAGCTCTATTCTTACAACTCAGGGAATACATCAATCTTCATTGGTGTTTCTTCTCCTTGTTCCATAGCCTGAAAACCATTTTAAATTTATTTTATCCATTTTTTGTTGCTTCAGGTGGGAGGGTAATTATCTTCCTACGTACTCCATCTTAGCCAGAAACAGAAACTTTGTGATGTACTTCGTTCACAATGGTACACCAATGTGTCAAAGCATTCTATTTTAAATTCACAGAAATAGAAAAAAAATGTTAATAGAGCAGCCATGAGTGAATAGTGTAGAAGTTTATAAAGATTCAGGAGTATGGCCGGGCATGGTGGCTCATGTCTGTAATCCCAGCACTTTGGGAGACCGCAGCAGGTGGATCACCTGAGGTCAGGAGTTCGAGACCAGCCTGGCCAACATGGCAAAGCCCCATTGCTACTAAAAATACAAAATTAGCCAAACATGATGGTGCATGCCTGTAATCCCAGCTACTTGGGAGGCCGAAGCAGGAGAATCACTTGAACCCGGGAGGTGGAGGTTGCAGTGAGCCGAGATTGCACCATTGCACTCCAGCCTAGGCAACAAGAGCTAAACTCTGTCTCAGGAAAAAAAAAAAAAAATCCAAGAGTACAAGTTAGCTGGAATGAATGAATACTAAAACAGTCTAGAAGGTAGAAGGAGACATTCAGCACAGCTCAGCAAACAAGTCAATGCCACTCTAAAAATTTCACTTGGGTTTACAACCCCAAGCAAGTTATTTAACCTGTGTAAGCCTTAGACTCCACAAGTGTAAAATTGGGATAATTTTTTTTTTTTTTTACCTCATAGAGTGTTTTGGGAGAATTATATGTGTTAGCATGTAAAAATGTCTGGAATATTGCATTTTCTCAATACATTGAAGTTGCCATTTATCTGTCATAAAGATTATTGCGGCCTGTGGGAAGAAATATCATTTAAGCCATTTCTGCTGAAGGGGGAGCTTAAATTGAACATACTTTCACCCTCAAGTGTAAATTATCCACAGAAAATTGCAAAAGCATATTTAGGGAGTGGAGGAAAAATAAGGAAAAGAAAACTGCATTTCAAGGTTTATCTTGCAGAAGCTGAGAACCCTTGCTTTCAGTATGTAAAGTTTTGATGGATGCTTGAGGGATTTGGAACTCTAGAGTGGTGACTCAAAAACTTATTTAGCTGCCTATTTCAGTTAGATAATTTCAACCTAGTGTCAACATGCTCTCTTTAAATGCTCCAGTGAATGCAGAGTCAGCCAATCGCCTTCACTTTCTCTATATTTCTCATTCCTATTATGCCACTTAGCTTGCTAACTCTCTTGAAATAGAGAATTGATTCCAGATGATAGATTGATTTTTTTTCCCCCACTGTTCCTATATACAACCAGTCTCCCAATCAGGTTAAATAACCACCTCCATAATCCTATCTTTGCAGTTTTTCTCCTTGCAATCATTCCAGGTAAGAAGTACTGTGTTCTTTAGGTTTTATTGCATATTGTCCAAGGTATACAGTTATCTCCATGTAAACAAAACAAAATAGTAATTATCAGATTGAGAATGTCTGAGCAGAGAAAGATCAAAGAGCACAGAATTATTTTAGCTCCCATAGTTATTTAAAAGAGTGGTTTAATTGTGGCAGCAAAGATGAATATACTGTGAAGAGAACTCCTTTCGAGGAAACAGAGGACTTTAAATTCAGGAAACAACCTTGAAATGTCTTTGGAGCTCAGTTAGGGAAATTACATATGAATGCTGCTAAAATCAGCTGGAAGATTTGGAATTCCTAGGTGAGCTGGGATCAGGGCCAACCTCATGGCCATCTGAGATAAAACTTACATCATTCCTCAGTATAACACTTGGCCCATAGGAGATCATCTAACATAAACTTCTTTATCTGGAAAAGTAATTCATTTGACTTTAAGTAAAATATTCATCAATTTTTAATAATATTAGAGGTACAACATACTAGAAGCCAAGAAGAAAAATGAGAGCATTTGTCTTCTGGAGAAGATTAAGAGAGCTTGACACATTAGTATGACTATTTGGAATACTATCAAGAACAAACTGGAGCCTCTGGTAATTTTAGAAAGAAGGGATTCCCAAGGCATTATCTGGAAGTGGTTTCACAAAACCACTTTTGTGCCATGTAATGCTGAGCATGACAAATTTAACATTATAATAAATACATGTTGTGAGCTGAGCTGTCTGTACTGACTACCATAGTCAGAGGAGGCTGTTCAAGGCTAGCTGCCTGTATATGGAATACAAACTGAGAATGACAAATGTTTTCAATGTAAACACTCACTTCCTCTATGAGTTTCCTCCTTTCTTCTGTGAATACAATTTGTTTAATCTTGATTAATGGCGCTTTGTTATTCTTGCTGGGATTGGCCACACTGTACCTTTTTCTTGGAGAAATAAAGTCTAATGAAGACAGGAGTGAATCACTGGGTTCACAAATAGTGCTCCCGAAAATGGATAAGCACATGCTCAGCATGTGGAATCCTCTGATAAGGGACAATGACTAGGGAAATATTTTCCACCTTCAGAGTGGACATTCAACAAAAATGTATAATCACTCCAAGTGGGTCTATCATTATAGTTATTTCTTCAGGGGAGAGGCTAGTAGGACCATCCTGAAGGACAAAGAGAATTAATACTGTGCTTGTCTTATCTACTTATCCCCAATTTAAGCAATGTGAACCTCCTTTGCCATTCACTGGAGTCACTTTGGGAGCAGAAAATGGAGATGAATGCCTAGAGATAAGGTGCAGAAATTCTTTCCTAACATACCAGATAGAACAATTTCCACTGGTTTTCCCTACTGTGCTAGAAAGTACTTAAAACCTTGGCCAAGTCAGAGGGGGCTTTTCAGGTTATATTAATGTTCAGAGTGTCAACATCAGAGCACAGCTGGACCAGCAAGCATGTAAAATGTATTTTAGAAAGCCATTAGTGCGTGTTGCCTATGGGTAACGGCAGGCATTGAACAATCAATTACACTGCAGTACTATGCTAAGGTATTCATTCCTGAGTAGCTACAAAAAGAATCTTATTGTTTGATTGTAATATCTTCAATCATAGGACAAAGAGGGAAAAAAGTCATTTAGGAATTTCATTGTATGTATGTGCTGCCTGCTCCTGCAAGAGGCATGACATCTTCAGATTCTGACAAAATGTATATGGAAAACATAATCCATAATTGGCACCTGTTTGAGAATAGAGTTTTGCCAAGTCTATCTGGCAATTACAAGCTGGTCCATGTCCACAAATTATGTGCTAAGATCTCTTCAAAACATGTCCATCCACATAGCCTCTGCCTTGTGAGCCTCGGTGGTTTGCCCCACAAATCCCTCATTTAGCACCAAATGTCTTCATGGTACCTATATTTTCCTGGCAAATTTAAGTGTGGATCCAGTGAGCTAATATAAACACTGATCTGCATTATTTCTTCTGTTGCTTTCTTCCAGATATGTCCCTTCTGGGGGGCACATACTTGTTGTATTTGCCTCCATTGAAATTGACTCTTCATATGATCTCCCTCTAATAGTCTAGGAATAGAAAGTTTGAAGACATTTGTCAGAGCTGTTAACAATGCCAGTTACAGTGGTACGTTCCAGTAAATTTCAGTGGCATAATCTATGGCAAAGAATGCTGACTGGAGCTTATTCTAGTCCACTGAACATACAGTACTGTGGGCTGTCACCAATTTTCCATAGTTGGGAAGAATTGTACTGTAGTATGATTTTGAATTGTCTCATCTTATAAATGAGCTATCCTACAACAGAATTGTGGTTTTGTATCAGATAGTAATCTTGTAAGTAGCACCCATTAGAACAGTGATTTTAAAAAAAGCAAACAGCAAATGAGACCATTTTTATATTCCAAATTATGTAAGCAGCTGCTCATTTTTTTCAGGGTTATAAGGTTTTGAGCCATTGATTGGATGTGACATTTATATTTTACAGATAATTCTTATACTCACATTATGTAGTTTTGGTTCAGAAGCAATCCATTGCAGTATGGGGAAGTGTTATTTGAGTAAAATAATGTTCTCTTCTGCAAGATGATTTGCTTTCACTAAGGTCCAGTAAAAGGGGAACACTGCCACTCAAAGGGTATAAAATAAAAAGTCCTTGAGTTTTAAATTCCAGGACCAAAATCACAAATAACTTCACTCAGCTATGAGCTGGCCATAGATACATATTTTCACAGACATTGCAACTCCATAACTGAAGCAGAAAAAAGACCTGAAGAGAGAATATCTTACCAGTTATCCCGATTACTAGTTCCAAAAAGATCTCTGTTTAACTCTGCAAGTTGGCTGGTGATTTATTTCTTAAAAAAGTAAAAAATATGGTTAGAATAAGATTTAGTATTTGATAGAACAGCTGATTGATTACAGTCAGTAATAATTTATTGTACATTTAAATTCAATTAAGAGATTATAATTTGAATGTTTGTGATACAAAGAAAAATGATAAATGCTTGAGGTGAAGGGTACCTCATTTACCCAGATGTGATTATTATTCATTGTATGCTTATATCAAAATATCTTGTGTATCCCGTAACTACATACACCAATCAAATACACACAATTTTTTTTTAAAAAAGAGTCAAACTAAATTTCAAGATATGGAATTTGCTGTCTCTGTGTCAATTCTTTTGACAAATCTGGATTCAGTGCATATCTTTGGCAGAAACACAAATCAAATCCAGAAACAAAGCTCTGGTGGAGTCAGGGGATGTTGGATGGGTATTTTAGCCTTAAATTACCTGCAACTTGAACAAAGGAACAAAGGAAACAGAAATAAAAGCTGCCAAAGCATAATATCCACAAGCATATTTTAATTGCAATCTGTGTCATTCACCTTTCTAGTCTACAGGAAATATAATACAGTGTTTTCAAATCCTCTGGCACTGACTTCAATGACATGGGAGAGTGTCTTAGGTAACTCAAGGGTTGGTGAATGGATCAGCATGCTAAACACATTCAATTATTCTTTTTTGATTTTAGGAATCTTGTTTTGGTTTGTTTGTTTGGAATATTTATTGTGGAAAAACTTTCAGATTAGCGGTTTCAAACAACCAAATGAACAAAAAAAAGAAGAATCTCTCTTGGCTGCCAGAGCAAGCACATTCTGTAAACTCTAAGTTTATCCATATTTCTATGTTCATTTAATATAAGATTATATTCTAACTTCCATGGCCTGATACCATGAAAATCTATTCTAAAACATCACCTGTATTTTTAAAGCATATCATATTTCATGTGAAAATCCACTGCTACTGAATATACACGGATTGGAATATAATCATAGTGGGAGGCTGTGAGACTGAGGGGTTTGAGACTTGAGCATGAGACCATATGCAATCATTTGCAAGGGCTGCCACAGGGCCATTAAGCAAGGATAGTATTGCCTCATCAGGTGGAAAAAGGTGTTGCATCTGATGGAGTGGGAGGGTTAGGGAGAGGTGGGCCATGGGGGTCCTCATACTCATCCAAGTCTCCCACACTGTTCCATGTCAATTCCTAGGGTGCCAGCCTTTTCCTGGGAAATGCCTTAGCTTTCACTTTAAAAAGTTGACATATCTAATAATTCAAATGATATAATTTGGCAGTGAACCAAAAGTACATTGGAAAATGGAATAGAGCATCTGTTATCAGTCAGAGAAAGCTAGTGTTTATCAGACCATACCCTGAATCAAATGTTAGATTTTGAACTGGAGTTTTTTTCTTTAAACCTCTAGTTTAAGTAGCCAATGCACACTAAATCATGGTAATCTTCATGTCTCTTACCCTGTTCTTTGGCAGAATTTACTCAGTTCCCTAAAATCTAATGTTTAATAAGGAAGCAAAAGCATGTATTAATTAAAAAAAAAACTATTTTGCCTTTGTATGCTGAAGTTTATTAGATTCTCAACTTTTAATGCTAAGTCTAGCTCAAACCCTTCAAACTCAGAAAGACAAGAGCTCATGACTTTCTCAAATGTCATGATCTCATTTCATGAGCATTGGCTGCATACCATCGTTAACTTCTGGTGCCAATTTCTACAACAGTCAAGGTTCATAGTTAGACAACTCACTATAGTTTGTTTAATATGGATCACATCTGTTACAAAATATAATTTAACTAACAGGATTGTTGAGAGGAAAAAAGCTTGGCACCTAGTCAGAAAGAAACAACACTGGTATTCTGGGATGCTATCAGCCATGACCCTATAGGTGCTTCCCTAGGGCACAGCCACTGAAGTTCACCTTGTCATCTCTGGCCATTGTATCCACCGTCACTGTCACTGCCACCTTGATAGACTGGGCTCTTTTGCAAAAGTGGATTCTGAATAGCACCTGCTTCTTTGGGTTGTTTTAAGGCTAGACTGTATCCTTGTTGCCACAGAAGTTGGAGATGTAAATATTTATCTTCTGTTTTAAAGATTCAAGATTCAAAATGTGGAAAACTTTTCCCCATTTGAAGAGTGATTAAAAAAAAATACTGGGCTATGTTATGTTAAAAGTTCACTGTAAATAGTAGTGCAATGTGATAAAGACAAACTTCCAAATATGTCTTTTGTTGAGATAATTGTTCAATATACCAACAATTGGCTTTATCTGAGTGGCCTTAGAAATAAAACTTAAAACAATTTTAATCTGTAACAAAGAGCTTTGGAAAATACAGAATAAAATTGTCAACAACTCTGTAACCAGACACAAGAAAAGATAGTCCATTGGTGGAAATGTAAAGATCTCTCTCTTGTGTATATGTAAAAAAAAGTCCAGTTTGCTAAAAATAAAAGAAATGTAAATTAAAATTATACCACAAAACTATTTTTTACTGAGGAAATTATCAAAAAGTCCAAAAATTTACTGATTATATGGCAAGGCTGAAGAAAAACAGGCACTCTTATATGTTGTTAGTGTGAATTGCAAAATAGTACAACTCTTACAAAGGAGTTGTAACACTTGAACCAAAAAAAACTTATCCTAAAGATGCATTTGTAAAATTATAAAAATCATACACATGTGTTCAGTATTTTCAGCACTTCTTGTAATAATATGATTTTATAAATAACATAATTAATTGTCAGTTATTAGGGTACCAATTAAATACATTATGTAAAATCTCTAATAGTATACTAGGCAGCTTAAAAAATTTAAAGAGAAATATCAAAAGGCACAAACATGGAGTGATCTCTGGAGTTTAGTATTAAATGTGAAAACAAAGAGTGGTGAAACTTTTGTTTATAATGCTAGTATTAAACAAGAAAATCTTCAGTCTTTATTTGCAATATAAGGTAGCACAAAACATCATTTGAGGAAGGAACTGTTTTACTCCTTTTGAGATGGAAGGATTTATATACGATTTTGTCTACTTAGGGTTTTGGTTGGTTGGAGGATAAGTGTGTGTAGTTTCATACAATTGAGGACAGAAAGTTGGTGCATTTTTTTGTGTCCAGATTAAGGTGAAAAGGCAGAAGTAATTCTGACATAAAGATGAGCATGTTATGCGGCTAGAGAGGATCAGGTTTTAGTTGAGTAAATAGAAAATTACTAGGAATGGAGAATTTTCTGGAGACCCTGACAATTCATAGGTGTGCATTCATTTTTGTGCACTCAAATGTATCCTCATAAATACTTACAGAATCACAATCATACAGATATATCCACATATCACTTATATTTAATTAAAAAAGAACAAAGGAATGAAAAGCCATAAATTTAAAAACAAAGTTACATGTAAAAACAAATGAATAAATTGTGTAATTATAATGCAAATGTATTTTAAATGAATCATTAAAATTAAAAATAAAATGAATGACCAGAGACAGAACATATTACAAGTGTCTTTAAAAGATTTACAATAATATTTTGACTGTGCATTCCTACTAGTATAAAATCTAAGTACTGAATAACTACACTATTTGCCAGCAGACTGCTTTTTGTAATAATATTGCCTGTGTTAGTGCTTTATTTTTTATCCTGAGACTGTCATAAATGTACTGTAAAATAAAGCATATGAATAATTGTGTGGGTGTTATTGAGAAGAGATATTCCTCATTCTGGAGGGAAAGATACATATGATAAAGATATAAAATTGTGCAAAAACTCTGCCACATTGAATTCAAGTGGAAAGTATCAATGCTGATACTTAATATAAATATTCCCTTAATTATATTCTCCTTAATATAAACATTCCCTAGTAGCACTAATTGAAAATTGTTTAGAACTATGACCAAACCAGGAGCACTGAGCATTCCTAGCTCACAGGTTGAAGTTGTGCTGAAATTGAAGGTATTTATACCTGACGGTAGCCAACCCACCTTGGACAAATTGCTGATTCTGGATGTAGGGTGGGATCCTACATATGATGTCTTGATATTAAAGAAGACAAGATAGTTATAAAAGACTATGTGCCTTTGATACTTGATTACTTTATCATATGTCAAGAAAATTAAGGAGTGGCCTAAGAAACCCCATATTATGCAATCTGTGACAATTTGAGCATCACAATAATAATGACTGAAATTGAGTAAATACATATTAAATGTGTTTATATCCATGAGTTCTTCATAAATCTCAAAATATTCTTATAGGTCATTCCCATCTTTGGAAAATGAAAGAAAACTTCAAAAAAAATGCTAGAAGAGAAAGAATCAATCTTTCATCATGCCTTTTATTCAATATCTTGGTACTTTAAGAGAGTTAATTAATGGAAGTTTATTTTATAGAAATATTCTGCATAGTGTAAGAAAATGAAAGATGGAATTAAACTATACACATTTTGCAATTCCTAATGAGTGATTAGATCTAAGATGATTTTCAATGTTCAATACAGCAAAAAGAGTAATAGTGAGACGTGTACCTTCTGATGAAAAAATACAGTATCCTCTATCTAAGACAAAATTAAAATGGAATCTGTTTAAGGCTGGTGATTTTACTTCCAATTTGCTTTCCAGTATTAAAATGACATAGGGGCATGTGAAAAAGCATCACAAGGTTATAATGGGCAAAATTCAGACCATAGGTACTCTACATGTAAAGAATTCAGTGTCTTTAACAATATCAACATTTCAGAGAAAAAAAAAAAAAGACAAGAGGCAGCACCTGAAGACTGAAAGAGATTTAAACGCAAACCAACAAATTACTGTAATACATGGATCTTATTTGGATCCCAATCAAAGCAAAAGGTAAAAACCAATCAAACACAAACCAGAATATGTATAAAATAGCATGATAAGACACACATTGAATAGATATTCCATTAAATAAATAAATAATTAACCTTCCTGTGATAATGGAACTCTGTGCTTTCAAAAAGCCCTTATCTTGGTCAGGCATGGTGGCTCATGCCTGTAATCCCAGAACTATGGGAGGCCAAAACAGGCGGATCACCTGAGGTCAGAAGTTTGAAACCAGCCTGGTCAACATGGTGAGACCCCCGTCTCTACTAAAAATACAAAAATTAGCTGGGCATGGTGGCAAGCGCCTATAGTCCCAGCTACTCGGCAGGCTGAGGTGAGAATCGCTTGAATCTGGGAGGCGGAGGTTGTAGTGAGCCGAGATGATGCCATGGCACTCCAGCCTGGGAGACAGAGTAAGACTCCATCTCAAAAACCAAAAACCAAAAACAAACAAACAAACAAACAAACAAAAAACTCCTTATCTTTCAGAAATGCATAATGCAATTTTTATAGAAGAAATGCTATATATCTCCTTGGGTTGGCTTGAAATAATACAGATGTAAGGGTGTGTAGATATACTGAAGCAACATGGGCCATGTAATGATGACTGTTAAAGTTGAGTGATGGCGCAGTCTCCCCTCTATTTTTGTATATGTTGAAATATTTCCATAACAATGATTTTAAAAATACAAAAAGATAAATAAATTTGCTGTGTATATTATTTAATGAGGCACCTAAACTTGAAGACCTAATTAAGAATATAGAAGAAAATAACTAGAAAATATCTCATATGTGGACACAATTTTGTTGGCTGAATATTTACAATAACTCATTAAATGACCACATGATACAGTGAGATGAGTTTCTTCTCTCTTCTTCCTTTACACAGACCAGCAACTCGAAGTTGCCTATTAAAGCTGAATTTTTTTGTTTTTGTTGTTTCATTTTTGGTTGTTTGTGTTTTAAGAATAAGCCAGTACCCATACATCTGCTGTCATTCACAGCATTTTCTATAAAACAGAATTGTGAGAAGCTTTCTGGTTAAAAGTATAGGTGAAAGCCTTGCGCATGCTAAGAGACTAATGATGAAATTGTATTTATTTAGCAAGGTTACTGTTTGAAAGGACTTATGAAAATGATGATGAAGCTCATAGGCTGGCTAAGATCTGCTCACTAACTCCATTTGTCATCCTTTGCACCAAGCACTGCCCTTGCATCTATCTTAAAAGACATTCACAAGATAAGGGTATTCATGCCTGGAAAAAGTAAATAAACACTGCTTTTTTTTTTTCCTCCACACTGTTACTCAAATAAATATGTTTCCGCTTAAGAGATGGGGTGCCGTGACTATCCTGTTTGTCTTACATACAGTTTGTAGGTAATGGAATGCCAGTGAATTACCTCATTTTATTGTATCTGGTTCATGGAAGGAGGGAGAGGGCATTGCCTAGAGCCAGGTGGCCAATGTTCAGAACCTGGCTCTCTTTCTTACTTGCTGTACAGCTATAGAAAATTTAATTACTTTCCTTTGGTTCTTCAGTTCCATTATCACAAAAATTAGAATAAAAATAGGATTTCTCATTTTAAGAATTGCTGCAAGGACAAAATGATTTAGCAATTAAAAAGTTTTAACACATAAGAAGTGCTTGATAACTGTTATCATTTTCATCATAAGTTGTTAGAAGATAAGTTGTTAGAAGACTTTCAAGATTGTGATTATTTGAGATAAGGGAAAAAATACATAGGACACTTGAGAACTTTCAGAGAAGAGCATAGCCTCATTGGGCTGAAGAAGTGTTGGACAGGGTGGCATGTGACTGCCTATCTGGTCTTTCATGATATGATTATGCAATCCAGGCATTAATTAGATCTTGCCTCATTAAATCACAGATTTCTTTCTTTCTCCTTATATTACTACAAAACCAAGATGGGGAAGGTGGATTATTGTGAACAATTAAAAATTGAACATTTTTATATTTTAAGAATGAACACTTAGGAAATGTCATTCTGTAATGTAGCAGAATAGTCATTGGATATTGCAAAATGCTGTGTCACCTAGAACACAAAATTCTTAAGATTTCTTAGAAAATGGAAAACATCCATATATCTATATATTAATTATAAATGAAATACCTGGGGAAATTTATATCTAATTCTAAATGTGTTTTATATGAAGTATAATGTGTCTAAATATCTGTCCATATCTCTGAATCATATATACTTAGAAAGAATATTTTATGATATCTCCCTGTTCTAATGTCCTAAATGTTAGTTTATAAATAGAACTGTAGGAGTCAATTAGAGTTGTTTCAATTAAAACATCCAAATCACTTTGCTGAACTCTACAGAGATCAGTATGTATTGCCATAGGATATGTTATGTGTTTCTTATTATTTCAATATGAAATTACCTCCATTCCATGCTGGCTGACCATGGTTGTAATTAATCTTCTAATGATTAAAAAGAAAGACATGTTTTGATGTCAAATAAATGAAGATAATAGCCTCTATGAATTTCGTAAAAACCAATTTATTAAATTGGTCCTTAACATCTTGGATAGCTTCCAGTAGTATAGATGAATGAAATCCAGCAATGGAGTATTTCCTTTGAAGATAAGATTTATACATGAAAATGCCCTGGAAGGAATCCTAGCTTTTTTCACAGTGGCAGTAACTATAAAGTTTAATATTGTTTAAAATGGAATTGTAAAGAATGAGGTTAAGACTAAAAGAGATGAAGGACATATTTGATAATATTATTTTTAAAAATAAAATAGGATATTTAACTTCCAGAAGTAACTTTAAAGAGAAATGTCTAACAGTCCTTAAAATTCACTTTTTTAGAGTGTTGCCTTGTTACACATTCTATTATAGTGACTTTTTTTATATTAGTATGTAACAAAAGATTTAACATTATGTGATACTTTTCCATAAAGCACTAAAAAATACATAAAGTGTGACATCAAAAGACAGTAATATGGAAACAACTATTCATTACAATAATTATAAGCATGTTTCTGCAGAAATAGCTATGATATTTTGTATAATTATTTATTAGTGACAAAAGTGGGCCATACAATAATTCAAAGCACTACACAATTGTGTTTTTGTTTCATTCTTCAGCCTCAACTCCCTTATGCCTTGCTCATACACTTATACTTAAATAATACCAGTTTCTTAAATCCTTTACAGGACACAGACTTTGTTTATGCTCATCATTAAGCTGAATGCACTTCTTTTTTCCTTACTCCTGTATTGTATTGTCTATTGTGAAAACAATACAATTGACAAATGTGTACCTTTCTTTCTTTCTTTTCCTTTCTTTTTTTCTTTCTTCCTTTCTTTCTTTCCTTCCTTTCTTTCTTTTTTTCTTTCTTTTCTTTTCTTTCTTTCTTTATTTCTTTTTTGAGACAAGGTCTCTCTCTGTTGCCCAGGCTGGAGTGCAGTGGCACAATTACGGCTCACTGCAGTCTCAACTTCCTGGGCCCAAGGGATCCTCCCACCTCAGCCTCCTGAGTAGCTGAGACTATAGGTGCATGCCAGCATGCCTGGCTAATTTATTATTTTTTGTAGAGATGGGGTCTAACTATGTTGCCTGGACTAACTTTAATTTTGAGATTCAACTCTAGAAAACGTTGTGTGCTACCAGATGACATACAATGTCAGGACAACATACAGGAAAGAATTGATCATGTTCTCCTTTGGGCTAGCACCATGCAACCACACCGATTTTATTTCGGCCTTTATGAAACATTATCAAACTGATATTTAACAAATCTGCCTCCTCATTCTAAACCACCTTCCTTTCTTTCCATGTTGCCAGTATTGAGCCAACTGAATAATTGTCCAAGGCGTGCTATAGTTTGGGTAAAATTTTCTGGTAAACTATTGTATCCTTATTAATTGGCTATTTCTTTCAGGTTCAGATGTCAACACACCTCAATTTGTTCAGGCTTATGTGATTTTGAAATAATTTAAGACATATCAGAACATTGCAAGAACTATGGATTTAATCTGTGTCCACCTAATCTTGACGATATATGAAACAGAAACTGTTGGAATATCATACCCTGTAGAGCAGTGCTCTTCAATAAAACTTTCTGCAGTGTTGGAAAAGTTGTATATCTGAAGTGCCCAATATGATAACCACTAGTTATATGTAGATAATGAGCATTTGAAATAACAAGTGTGACTTAGAAAGTAAATAGTTTTATTTAATTTTAATTAATTTAAATTTAAATAGCCACATAATATATAATTAGTGGCTAACTATTAGCTCGACTCTGGAGTTAGAAGATAGTTAGAAATCAAATATTTTCAATGCCACAACATATGCTAGCTATACATCTTTATACATTGCCATTTAATTAAATAACTTCATAAATGAGTGTTTTTCCAGCCACATTGCTGTGCAATGGGATTTCAAAGATAATATGCATTCACAGAATTCTAGACATTTTTACTTTCTAAGGAGCAGCTGTGATATCTACCTCAAAAGTCACATATATTTGAATAATAAACATTTGCCTCTATCAGTTTGCCCCGATCAAAATTGGATAGTTTGCAGACAAATAAAAGAGGGGAACTGAGAAAAACAGATTGGGCTTCATGAAGCACAAAGTAAAAATTTTGATAATAGAAGGAAAAGCTTCAAAATGAATTTAATAGGATCCAGTAGCAGAAAACAGATATGACTAGAATGATCCACATTCTAAGAAATTTTCTTTTAGATTTGCTCAAATTTATTTTTAAAACATTTTGGATTATATAGATTTTGACATATTGATTTATTCAATATTATTTCTTCTAGCCTATGTACCTGGTAAGAGTAAAAATTGTGTCTTGCTTTTTCAAGGTGCCCTTTCACCTGGAATGCTGCTTGACTGATAGGAAGTCCTTAGGAAATATTAGATGCAAGCCTGGCTTAATCACTGTGTCCTGAGCACTGTAATATAAAAACATTAAATCCACATAAAAAAGATATTGATGAAACTACATGACTTACAATAAATATTGGCAGCATCACAGAAAGTGCAGATCATTAACATGGAAGCAACGCCAATATAACTTTCTGCAGCAGCAGGATATAACAGGAGTAAAATATATTTCAAGTGACAAAATATACTAGTAACCAATAGCAGCAGTTTGTTTGTTGATATTGGAAAGCCAGAATTCAACAATCTAATTTTCTTTTTCTTTCTCAGGCGATAATCACTGTTTTGATGTGTGATTTTCCTCCAATGTTTTAAAATATATATATGAGTATGTGAGTCTGTGGTGTATGTGCTCATGTACAGTTCTATGTGTTTTCATAAATTAGTTTATTTTTGTTTAGACAAGAAGGGAAGAGAAAACTCAGAAAGATGGTATTCCTGATGGAAAGAAAATAGTAAAAATTGCTTAGGACTATCTCAATATTTCATTTTATTAAATATATTTTAAATAAGTTGGACAATATATATAATCTATGAAAACTAATGAAAAGATATGGCTCCTTGTTATGTCATTAGACACATATTTTTTCAATTGATTAGAATATTTTATAATTAAAAATGAAATAAAAATATATTTATTGTACAAAAACTAAATTTGTGGCACTGTCATATATTTCTAAAACATAAAATGAATGTGGCATAAACTAGTTGTATATAAATTATTATGAATATACAACTTTTATTGCACAATAACCACTATTGAATCCCTAAAAAGACACAAGTTAATTTAATCAATTCTTTTTTGGTATGCTTTGTCACATAGAACACAAAATCTTAAAGATTTCTTTAAGATAGATTATTTAATAAAATGGAAAACTCCCATATATTTATGCATTAATTATTTATATATAACATGCCTGGGAAACTGTGAACATATTTCTAATAACTCCATATACAGTTTTCTACATATTTATTGTGACACTAGTTTTAAGTAAATGCTAATTTACGCTGTTTAAAAACCAACCATAGAAGTGTTGAAAGTGTTATTTCTTTAGAAAGTAACACTCATTAGAAAATGCATTTAAACCTATTGTAGATATGCATATCTATGTTAAATTGAGTTTAGAAAGAGTAGCCATTAAATTAACATGTTTACTTTTTCATTAATTTACGTTCGAGCAAACAATAACAAGTGTTTATTATAATTTTGTCCCCTGTTCATAAAATGTATAAATTTTTATTTATGATAGTTGCCTTTACCAATTTTATAAATTTTCTTTTATTACAACTGTCAAAAGATGACTTGTTGAATTTTTGCCCATGAAAGATTTTATTCCAGCATTGAGTCATATTAAAATATGAAAAAAATTGAGTTGGCAAGAAACACATGAAATCAGCAAAGTTAAGAGAACATAGTGGTATTGAGGGAATCAAGAAAATACTGCTTATCTAGCATCAGAACCATTGCTGCCCAGAGGCAATTTTAATTAGGCCACAATTCATATTGCAGAAAGTAGTTTTGTAATTACCTTCAAATGACCAAATGATATAGAATTCTAAGGAGAGTTGCATATTCCCAGTAATGAGCCAATTTGCAATTGACTGGATTTTTTATGTAAGGCATTTATTGGGCAAACAATATTTAAAAATATGTTACTTCAAATTCATATCCATGTAAATAGTTGAATTTTAGTAGCTTATTTCAGAAGATATAGAAGTAATGAAAAGAATTTAAAAACAAAACCTACCAATCTTTAAAAACATTCTGCTTAAAGTAAAAGTACTATTTATAAAACCAATAAATATTTACAACTTTTAACTAAGTTTTAGATTGGACCATAAAAATTTTAATTAATTTAAGTATGGGAATTATATTAGTTAAAATCTGAAATATTTATTAATGATGAGTAAGGAAATAGAATTGTATTAGTCTGTTCTCATGCTGTTAATAAAGACAAATCTGAAGCTGGGTAATTTACAAAGCAAAAGAGGTTTAATTGGCTCACAGTTCCACACGGCTTAGGAGGCCTCACAATCATGGCAGAAGGTAAAGGAGTAGAAAGGCTTGTCTTACATGGAAGCAGGCAAGAGACCATGTCCAGGGGAACTCCCTTTTATAAAACCGTCAGATCTCGTGAAAGTTATTCACTATCATGAGAACAGTATGGGAAAGACCCACTCCCATGATTTGATTACCTCCCACCAGGTCCCTCCCATGACACATGGGAATTATGGGAGCTACAATTCAAGATGAAATTTGGGTGGGAACCCAGTAAAACAATATCAGACATGCCTCATTTTCTGATTCAGGGTACCTACAGGCAATTCTTCCTTAACAAATTGACTCAAAAATCATAACACTTTCTTAATCTTTTTGTTTGCCTTTTTCAAAAGATAAGTGACTTTACTACATTAACATACTGTCCCAAACCAGAGACATAGCTTCTCTAAACTATAGAGAAATAAAATCAGTAGGACTTAGGCAGAGAATATGATGGTGGGTTCTTTTAATGTATTTAAAAATATTCTCATTCCTTAAGATATAAACATTATCAAGAGAGTAGAATTGATTGGCTGTGAATACAGAAAATGTTTGAAATATTATGGGAAATTAAGAATGTCTAAATAAGTACATTTAATATTTTGAGAATAGAGTTATAAGAGAAAAAGCAACAACTACTTCTAAATTCAAAGTATGAGTTTGGGGTGAAAACATTACAGATGTTTCATATATGTATAGGTTAAAAATATGTGTATAAATAATCTTATAGCTCAAAAGAAATTTTGTTTTAAAGCACAAGTGTGGAAAGAATAATTTTCTCTTATTTCATTTATGAAACGCTTATAGTTGCAATTACTATAGACTTTATAAAAATTAATTTAATCCTTACAATCAATCATTATGAACTTCATTTAACGGGTGAAGAAAAGATATAGAAAAATTGAATGATTGACCAAGGTATACATAGATAGAAACATTGAAAACTAAATTTGACCCTAAGTGGTTTGCTTTCATAGCTGGCATTCTTGACAACTGTGTCATGATTTCTATTTATACTTTGCTGCTTGTGTATATTTTATAATATATTTTGATTAAAGCAAACATATAAGTATATTAAACATTCACATCAATATGTCAATAACTACAAGGAATTAAGAGAACCACCATACTCTCTTGTTCTGAGAATTTAAGTAGGTAGAAGACAAAACTAAAAAATTGAAATATATACACATGTTTATGCTAATACATATTAATTTGTAATATATGAGATAATTTAATGTATATTGAAGCATACATGAGCATTACTAATTGATTTATATATATGATGAATACATACATATTGCAATATTTGAAATAGAGAGAATATATTGTTGGGAGGCAATTCTTTATGGGTTTCTCTCATTTCTAACAGGTCTTGTGATCAGAGACTCTTTCTGCCATTGTTCTAGATTATCCGATGATTGGAGAGTCAATAGCATTAGGAAATAGATACATTGTCTCCCTAGAGAGCAAAGGACAGGTTTGCTACAGCCTCAGAAAAATAAGATTATCTTTCTCCAGAAAATGGGCAGATATGATATCTGTCCTTTGTATATCATTTGGGTTTACTTCCAATAATATAAACCACTGCATAGGCAGACATCTATCTTGGCTCACCTGTGTGACCCCTTTCGGACCTGCGGGCAAGTGGAACACGCACATTTACATGACTCATGCTGCCTGTTTTACTATGTGTAATAAACTGCTTTGGCCTTCAACCCAAGAATGTTGTGTTTTGACAAAATCCATGAAATATTGATAGGCTAACATTTTATCTTGCAACAAAAGCAAAATCTCAAACCCTTCACAGTTCTTTACAAATATGGTATTTAACAATAATTCAGGATCTAGACCTACCAACCAATCCAGAATTTAAAAAAAAAAAACCATTAATATATATTTTAACCAATGCAAGTGAAAAAATAGAATAGATAGTTCAAAATTTTGTCTTAGAAAGAAATTCAAAATTGTAATTAGAGGTATTTAAAAATAATAACAATATACTTTACATAGTAAAAATGTCCATTAGACAAATTTGGATACACAAGTTTGTTTATAAAGAAAGAAATTAATGAAAATAGTGGAATTAACTATTAATTCAAGAACTGAACAAAGGTAACTAACGAGCTCAAGGTAGACTATCAAATTACACCTCACAAACTAAAAGATTTTTTTTTAAGGCACACAATCCACTACTGGAAAATCTAATAAAGAAAAAAAGTCAGGAAAAAAAAGTCACATTCACAACATCAGAAATGAGAAGATGAATATAAAAATGGATAGAGCATCAATTCCAGTAAATATGAGAGAAATAGCCACATGTTCTGTGCTAATAAATTTGAAAATCTGGATGGAAGGGGCACTTTCTCAGGAAAATGCGAATTAGAGATTACCATGCAAGAGAGAATAGAACACCTGCATAACAAAACAAAACAAAACAAAAAAGCAGCATTGAGACTATTAAGGGAGTTTAATAGAAAATATCAAAAATGTTACCTAAGATAATTTAATGAGCTCATGAAAGTATGAGGTATTGATAGATTAATCTAAATTTGGCATTGTGATTTATTAATAGGGTGTACACAAAATGATTACAAGCAAATGTGTAATTTCATCCTGAGATCAGTATGAGTGATTGCTTTGTTAACTTTACTTCACTAGTTTGTTGTTGTAATTGTTTTTCTATATATTTGTTGTTTATTTGTTTATGGGCTGTTACTAATGTTGTGTGTGTAGAATATCTAAAAGAATTCTCCCAAACCAAGCAAAGATATCCAATCCCATTTACTCAAACATAAAGTTATCATGCCAGATTTACATTGTATTAATTCTTAATTCTTTTTAAGGAAGACATAGGGAAATTTCTGGAAAATAATAGACTGGGTAACTTATTTACACTTCAGAAAGTTTCTTATAAGATTAGAATAAAACTTATCTCCTTTTAAGCTTTTTATCTTTTTGATTTTTCTCATCTAACTTTATATAATCAGTCTCAAGGCCAACACTATCAAGATTCAGAATAAGTAGTGCGAAAGATACTGATTTCTGGATTGTTTACAATACCAATATTAAAATAAGATATTTTTACAAAAGAATTTTTTCTTAGCAAGTATTACATGAATGTTCTCTAGTATTTTTCTCTTATATACCTGTCACTGTATCATGAACAAGTATCCATAGAAACACACAAATTTCCGTTCATAATTCTTTGAGGTTAGAAATAAATTATTATATATTTTCTATTAATGATTACGTATTATTATATAATTTAGCATTATGCTTGCTAGATGTAAAGCTTAAAATATATGCTATTTAAATAATGTCTCCAAAAAGGGGCATTAAACCATACCAAATCCTTATTTTGGGAAGTTAGATCTAGTTTGGAAAATATACATTATTTGAAGAAAAAAACCTGAGAGCTCTATAAATAAGTAAGTTGAAATAAGAATATTTTTACAGATTGAGCTTTTTGCATTATTGAAAGTAATTTCATCATTCTCACTCTATATTTGCCTCTTGCTCCAAAGTAATACTTCTTTGAGGAAATATTTACAAGTCAGCATAAAGTATTTTATTCTTTAGAACAAATGTACCAAGTTACCTAAGTCCATTTCAGACATTAAAAACAAAATTAACTGCATTTATCATAGGCCAACCCACAATCGGGGAGCTGGATCCAAATATCTGTTATTTACGTAATGCATCAGTCCAGAAACCGACAATTTTGCTTGCAGTTTACTAGTTTCTACCTAGTAAGAGAAAAATAGAATAGAAAGAGGAGATAGAGAAGAAAGAGAAACAATAAAGAAGAAATAGAGGAGTATATTCCATGGCCTGTACTTCATCTGCATCAATTGCCCATATTGAAAATGTTTGTAGTATTTGATACCTAATCTATGTTTCTTTGCACATTCCATGTCTCAGCTGGTACTGTTTTCATATTATTGAAATATACACTAAGTGTCATTAATTATCACCATTAACTCAGCGATTATCCATAGCCAGCCACAACTTTCTTTTTACTGGGCAATTACAATAGCCCCTTAATCATTCTCCCAGCTTCTAATACTTCTCCTATTGTCCATTCTCTATATAAAAATCATAGCAAGCATTGCTGTATTTTTTAAATATTCCAAATGGTTATTTTTCCTGTTTCAGGAAATTTGCGCCTCAGAATTTTACACTTCCTATTGTCTCTATTTTGCCCCTCTTCCCCCCTCATATGTGATTGTATTTGTTTTTACTCTCATCTGGCTCAAATGTCATCTAATTCTAGAAGATTTTTTTTCTGGCCACCCTAAATTATTATCTTTTCATTCTCTCAGAAAACAATATTTTAGATTACTGAGAACATATATCATTATTAGAAATTATTTTATTCTACTTTGTCACAAATTAAATATAAATTTACTATGAGAAATAAGTGCTTTATATATAATTATAATGAATCATTTTGAATATCTGAATTAGTGATTAAATGGATAAATGCATTTATTTACCCAATAATATTCATACAATATAAACAAATAAGAAAAAGATTTAAACAATTGTAAACAAGCTTTGATGATAAACTATTTTCCCTTAGTTTGGAAAGATACACAAATAAAAATCAAACATACAAAAACTTATCGAACAGATTTAGAAATAAAAAACGCATATCTCATAAGGAATGTTTGAATTGCCCTAGGTTAGATCATAACAGTAAGAAAAAAAATGTCAAACATTATTTGGATTTTTATTATTTCATCCAGTAATCGTGGCAGACCAATTAAGTGTAGTATTTGGCCTCCAAGCATTGTATTTACTCATTTGTTCACTCATCCATCTGTTCATCTATCAGTTTATTCATTCAATATTTACTCAATGTTATCACATTCTAAGTTCTATACTTAAGAGAATGCAATTTCAGAAGAAGCAAACAATGTGATAGAGCTTATGGAACATAAACAGTAATTCAATGAATGTATAATTTGATAATAATTTTATTGCAGAATTACATTCAATAAACATTAGTATAGTTTGAATGTTTATCTCCTGCAAATCTTATGTTGAAATGTGATCCCCAATATCGGAGGTAGGGCCTGGTAGAAGGTGTTTGGGGGCAGATCCCTCATGAATGACTTGGTGCCCTCCCTGTGGTAGTGAGTAAGTTCTTTCTCTGAGTTCACATGAGATCTGCTTGTTTAAAGAGTCTGGAACCTCACTCCACATTGATCTCTGTCTTACCATGTGACACTGCCTGCGCTCCCTTTGCTTTCTGCCAAGACTGTAAGCTTTCTGAAGACTCGGCAGAAGCAGATGCTGGTGCCATGCTTTGTGTACAGCTTGCAGAATGATGAGAAAGACTGCAATGAGGAGTCTTCACTGGGGCTGCCTGATTTTAAAATGTCTGCAAAGCAACCCAAATGTCAAAGACGTAATCTAAATGTATATAAGAAGCAACAAAGAACAGAATAATCAGTATAGAAAGGCATATAAACAATGATTTAAAAGAAAATTCAGAAACTCTGTCACAGCATGCATGGGAACCAACTTCATTATAGAATATTATTTAGAGGAACACCTTCTGATCTGAATGAAGTCATGCTTCACAGAGTAATATGTAAATGTACTTTTAAAGTTCCCTGTCTCAATTATCTGGATAGAAGCACTATCTTCCTAAAATAATAGGAAACTTTTGAAGTAGATGTTGAAGATTTCTTATCACACTTGTGTCCTCTATAGTAATTACTATACTTGCCTGGGTAAATAATGAAAGTCACCAGATGTGTTGTGAAAGTTAGCAGTTTAGAATCAACTCTCTTGTAAAATAAATATGAAATACTTGAGTTTTTATTAAACCGTACTTGTTTATTTAAGCTTATTGTTGTTGAATGTATTTATTGCAAAAGTAAAGTGCTAGCAATGAATGGAATAAAATGTGTGTATTTGTTTAAAAGTGTTTTATTTATACTGTGCACTAAATTTCTGCTACTTGAATGAACTTTGAAGAACAGGAGCACAGGCATCAGCTGGGAGCTATCTTTTCCATCAAGTTCTCAGGTGATGTCCATGTTGTTGGTCTGTGTACCACACTTTAGCCAGGTTTGAATGAATGATATACCCACTTTCTATATAGGCTAATCTGATAGCTTGCTCGGAGTTTTACTGCAGTATTGTTCGCTCCCAATTTTCTTATACTTTTGTCAAATATGCCCAACTTCTGGTTCCAACTAGCAGACACTTGTTGTGGCTCAAATGGCACCAAGGAGAGATCGACCTATTATTCTAAAGGAAGCAAGCCATTAGCTTTGGTGACTTCCAGGTGGGATTAAGTCTGCAGGTACTCAGAATGGCTTTCCATTGTGGCTTTTCATACCCCAAGGCTTAGGCGATGTACATGACAAAACTGGTTGTTTCACCAAGCGGCCAGCAGAGACAGCAGCATGGATCATTTATTACATCACGCTCTAAGATCAGAAGTGGTGAAGGGCTGACTGTGCCTGCTCTGTCCAAGTGAATTTATTTTTATCAGATAACCCCCTACATACTCTTTCTGAAAGGGAGATACTGGTTTCTTCACATCATAATGGGTCTGAAAAGGACAGAGTTTAGTTGCAGTATTCTTTCAGATTTAATTTCTTAAGTATGTGAGAGATGTGTTCACAGTTTAAGTCTCTTACAAATTACTACATTAGACACTGGTAGAATCCAGAAAAAACAAATTTGAAGACTAACAGATCATTAGGTTGGTGCAAAAATAATTGCGGCTTTTCCAATTAAAAGTAATTTTAGTCTTAAAATTTGTTTTTTCTAATATATCATGTCTTATTTTAAAATTTTTATTATTTTTATTTTTTATTTTATAGAGACAGAGTCTCACTATGTTGCCCAGGCTAGTATTGAACTTCAGAGCTCAAAGAATACTCCCACCTTGACCTCTCAAATTGCTAGGATTACAGACATGAGCCACTGCACTAAAATTCTTATTAATAGTGTACTTTGTTGAAACTTTTTAAAATGTAGGAGAAATGTTACATCAGATATGATACTGGGCACATATGAAAGCTGGAAAATACAGTCACTCTGTAAATACATGATTTTGAAGAAAACAAAAATTACTAAATCCCCACATGAAAATACCATATTTGATCACCCCAGACTAAGTGGAATTATCAAAAACCAGAAACAAGAGACAGATTACCTGAAATTAAGTCATAACAGGCCTCAACAGGACCCATAGAAAAAGGAAGACAGTGGAAGATTATCTTCAAATTTCTGAGAAAAAAAAATGTCAACCGACTATTATTTATTTGCTTCTGCTAATCTTCAACAGTAATAGCAAAATAGACATTGCATGCAAACAAAAGTGATAGACTACTATTAGCATGCCTTCACTAAAAAACCCAGGTAATGAATTTTCCAAGAAGAAAAAATATGAACTTTAAAAGATTGTACTGAATTGGTAATGGCAAATTTGTAAACATAAAAATTTTTTTCACAAAATGACATCAAAAATGTCTGCAAGATCAGTGTTATGTGAATAAGTAGTGGAATTTATAGAGCTGAGAAGCCCTGATTTTGTTCTTTTTTTCTAAAAATTATTTTGCAATCTATGTTAGAAGAAATAGACACAGTATTGTCTAGTTTTGCAAAGCAAGTAGACAATTTAAATTGTGAATAAATACATTTGTAAAAGCTGTTTTACCATTTCTAAAAGCTAGAATAGAGTTTGACACGCATTGACTAAATGGCTAGGCAAAAGCAAATATATGAATTTCTTGGATATGAGAGAAAAGTGGCTGAATAGGAGTTTGGAATAAAAAAGGAAATACTAAAATGTGTGTTAGTATGGCTATGATTTTAATGAATTCTTATTTATTGTAAATTGACTAAATGATAACAGTTACATAGACCAACATCCATTCTCCTTCTTTAGAAAAGTACTGAAGTACTGAAGTATTTTAGGGAAAGATTTCCAGACAAAACCGTGGTAAAGGCCTGATTTATTGGGCAAAATATTTTCCTAAGAGTAATGGCTAAAAATGTGAGCCATGATTCAATTAATTCTGAGGAGAAAAGAGGAAGATATTTGTAGAAGTCTCTGGAAATCAAAGGTTTTTTTTTAATTGGATTGTATTTGTATTCATGTTGTATTTTGGAGGAATATAGAAGTCACTTTTTTTGCTCCTTTGTGGCACTGATTGAGCAAAGATATAGAAGCGATTTTCAGGTATTTTGTGAAAGAGAACAAACCTTAGAATGATACTAATGCTAGAAAATGCAAAACAAAAAGTTGACACCGAGTTGCTGACCCAAATATACGTTGAAGCTAATATACTTCTAGAATTCAGTTTATATTAGCCAAATAATAATCTTTCTTGTTTAAGCCTGTTTGACTTGGCTTTGGGCCCTATTTGGTTGTATGCTTGTGATTTCCTTCAATGCAGTGCACATGAGACAGTTGAGTGGCACAGCCAGGAATCCGAGTAACCAAAGCTTTAGGAAACTTCTTACAGAGATATTGAAGTTACTTTAGATATGTGCAGAAGAAACTAATGTAGTGATGTGGGTGGTACAGATGAGAAAGAAACACAACATTTTGAAAAAATAAATTACTTAATTCCAAAGGCCCTTCTAAAATGTTAGTGTCTATGAAATGAGTAGATTCTAGATTTGGGGCTTTTTCTTTTTTTAATCACTGTTCTTTTCATCCTGGGTTTAGCCCCCATGAATTAAGAAAATTTGCCATAAACCTACCTTACAAGAGATATATATTTGCTACTAATTTCTGGAATTTCAGGTGTAGACAGTGTTATATATGTATAATATATGGTGAGTACAGACTTGTTGCCTCTGGTACATTATAAAAGAGACAGCACTGTTCACTAAATATTCCTTTTGTTCTCTTATTATTTTTCTATTCTTATAATTACTTGTTTCCATTGTCAACACAACATTTGCACCAGACAAAGTTAAACATGCCAGGAAGGCTTTATTTACAGTACAGGAGAGAAGTCAGAACTCAATCTGAGCATAAGTGCTCAGAGGAGAGTTTTTAAGAAGGAAGTGGGAGGATTTTAGGCCATTTGTGTTTGCTAATTAACTTTACTCAAAGGAAAAGTAAACTTTCTTGTATTTTCATGACAGCAGGCAAATTTACAACATGCAGTAGAGGGAGGTGTTCATCTAAATTAGGCATCTAACCTCACACGTAGATTAGGAGATAGGATCACTCTTTTCCTTGATATTTACATTTCAAAAGGATGGCTCCCAGATCCTTGGGAAAAAATCATTTTGGGTTGTAAAAGTGGCTGTGAAAAAGATTTACATCTCAAAGGGCAGACAAATAATTTACAATCGCAAATTCCCTAAAGTAAATGCTCTTAGGAAAGGGAGGTCGGAGGGGGGCCTAGATGGGAGGGAAGGGGAAAAAATCCTTTCTGATGTTCTGTGGGTTTGATGAGGTGTTTAAGACTGTTTTATTGATCATCTAAACAGTAGTAACCAACAAAACATGAAAAAGCCACCATCTAATCTTCTGTAATTCTCTTTTGGCTTCTACTGTAGCTAAGCCTTCTAGGTCATGAATCTTTAATAGCTTTGGATTTCGAGTAATAATGTAGAGTGTAGCTCAACCAAGGACCTGAGTTGGACATGAAGAACAAATAAAATATGTGTTTATTTTAAGCCACTAATACTTTTGGTTTCTTTGATACTAAGCATTATCTGGCATTGCCTGCCTAATACAGGTCTTGCTTTCAGTAGAATGCCACCTCAATTAAGTGATTGTGTGACACAGCTTCTCCTTAGGGAGTGGAGGATACAATCAGGAAAAGCTGTAGATGTCACTCTTGAGCAGTAGTGGAATGGTTGGCAACAACATATCTGTGAAATATCTTGTGAGGCAGATTGCATGTCCAATTATTTTGTAGCTGTAGGGAAAGAGATCAAAAAACAAAGTTTGTGTTTTGGGGTTTTATTGACTAAATTTTATCAAGCATTACCAGAAAGATGAGTGAAGAAAGGGATTGCTGAACAGCAGAAATAAAATGAAGTAAACACATTCTGTAACTTTGGGCCTTGATGCGATGAAGCTCAAACAGTAAAAGCTATAATTGAGAGGCAACACTCTATCAAAACTCAGCATTTTGTCCAAGACAAAAATGAGAGTGTACCTTTCCCATTTATTGCTAAAAATTCTCAGAAGCTTCAAATGCCTCAGGGCAAAGATCAGATTACTCTCATAGAGAACAGTTAAATCATAAAACCAAATTAATTTATTTAGAGAATTTCAGGCTATAGCTTTTCCCCAGAAGCCAAAGAATTTGTGTTATCAACTTCAAATTTGAAGACAGAGTGAAAGATCGGGGGATAAGAAATTACATATAGAAAAAAAATAGATATGAAAGGAAAATAAAATATCGGGACCCCAAACTTACTATGCCAAAAGGAACAGTTAAGCTTGGAGGCTGAGGCTTGCAGAAAACTGCCTTTCCTTTTGTTCCTAAATACACAGCTACAAGATAGAAGGCTACGTATCTCCCCAGATAGCTTCCCTCACCCTGACAATGTAAAACTAACAGCTTATCTTCATGAGGCAAGAGGAGACTAGGAATCCTCCCTCCACCACCTGTAGAGGAATATATATTTGTCATCTTCCTCTGCTCTGTATTTATCTTATGTAAAGTGCAGATTTACTAAGCATGACATGAATAAGTACTTGATTGTTCTTTTACCCCCTCCTTTTCACATGCAACATGTGGATTCAGTGAGTGCTAATCAAAACCTCAAAGGAATGTAATGACCTGTCTCATTTGTCTACCTCCTCCCACCTTTTTTTTCTTTCCTCCTTCCCTTCCTGCCTGCCTTCCCCCTTTAAATATTGAAGTGCTCAAAACTCTTTCTGGAAAAAGTGTGGGCCACAGATTATGCTTGGCTTGTAACTCTTTTTTTTTTTTTTTTTTTTTTTCCCTGATTAACCTGAACAGCTGGTTGTAAAGAGCTAAGTTTTTTAGCGACCACTGAGGACTCATTGAGTGGGTGGTGATGGGTAGGGGGCTTCTCTCATGGGCACCGTAACAATATATTGCCAACCACTGCGGCCAACACCATTTTCATGAGCCCCTATAAAGTTGGTCATTATATGATGGGATTGGAAAGAGGCATGGGGAATGCACCAAGAACGTGTGGATAACCTGTCACTAAGTGGGAACAGTTTAAAGACCAAGAGCATCTCCCTGACCTTTGAAAGTATTGTCTTCATTTTTTTTGTAAGATACTAAAGCTCTTTTTTTATTTTTATGTTTTATTATACTCCAAGTTCTAGGGTACATGTGCACAACGTGCAGGTTTGTTACATAGGTATCCATATGCCATGTTGGTGTGCTGCACCCATTAACTCATCATTTACATTAGGTGTTTCTCCTAATGCTATCACTCCCCCTGCCCGCCACCCCATGACAGACCCTGGGGTGTGATGTTCCCCACCCTGTGTCCAAGTGTTCTCATTGTTCAGTTCCCACCTATGAGTGAGAATATGTGGTGTTTGGTTTTCTGTCCTTGTGATAGTTTGCTCAGAATGATGGTTTCCAGCTGCATCCATGTCTCTACAAAGGACATGAACTCATCCTTTTTATGGCTGCATAGTATTCCATGGTGTATATGTGCCACATTTTCCTAATCCAGTCTATCATTGATGGACATTTGGGTTGATTCATCAAAAAGTGGGCAAAGGATATGAACAGACCCTTTTCAAAAGACATTTATGCAGCCAACACACATATGAAAAAATGCTCATCATCACTGGTCATCAGAGAAATGCAAATCAAAACTACAATGAGATACCATCTCACACCAGTTAGAATGGCGATCATTAAAAAGTCAGGAACAACAGGTGCTGGAGAGGATGTGGAAAAGTAGGAATGCTTTTACACTGTTGGTAGGACTGTAAACTAGTTAAAACACTGTGGAAGACAGTGTGGTGATTCCTCAAGGATCTAGAACTAGAAATACCATAAGATCCAGCGATCCCATTACTGGGGATATACCCAAAGGATTATAAATCATGCTACTATAAAGACACACACACATATATTTATTGTGGCACTATTCACAATGGCTTGTAACTCTTTATCCCTAGTGCATTCACAACCAAAATAAGCCTCCAAACTGATTGACAACTCTCTCAGGAACTTTTTCAGTTTACACTATATCTATACATACAAACTATATAAGAACTCTGTGTATAAATATTTACTAGCATATAGAATAGGCTGGCATCAAATAAATAAAAATGTTTACTTTTTTTTGAAATAGTTAAGCTGCTAAAACAAATTCAAATCTGAAATAATAATATCGAGAGACAGGACTAGCTGGATTTCCTAGGCCAACTAAGAATCCCTAAGCCTAGCTGGGAAGGTGACCACATCCACCTTTAAACACGGGGCTTGCAAGTTATCTCACACCTGACCAATCAGGTAGTAAAGAGACCTCACTAAAATGCTAATTAGGCAAAAACAGGAGGTAAAGAAATAGCCAATCATCTATTGCCTGAGAGCACAGTGGGAGAGACAATGATCAGGATATAAACCCAGGCATTCAAGCTAGCAACAGCTACCCTCTTTGGGTCCCCTCCCTTTGTATGGGAGCTCTGTTTCCACTCTATTAAATCTTGCAACTGCACTCTCTTCTGGTCCATGTTTGTTACGGCTCAAGCTGAGCTTTCACTCGCCATCCACCACTGCTGTTTGCTACTGTCACAGACCTGCCGCTGACTTCCATCCCTCCAGATCCGGCAGGGTGTCCACTGTGCTCCTGATCCAGCAAGGCGCCCACTGCCACTCCCAATCGGGCTAAAGGCTTGCCATTGTTCCTGCACGGCTAAGTGCCCGGGTTCATCCTAATCGAGCTGAACACTAGTCATTGGGTTCCACGGTTCTCTTCTGTGACCTATGGCTTCTAATAGAGCTATAACACTCACTGCATGGGCCAAGATTCCATTCCTTGGAATCCGTGAGGCCAAGAACCCCAAGTCAGAGAACAGGAGGCTTGCCACCATCTTGGAAGCGGCCTGCCTCCATCTTGGAAGCTCTGGGAGCAAGGACCCCCTGGTAACAATATTAATTATAATAGTAATAATGCCATTAAAAGTAATGGCAAAACTGCAATTACTTTTGCACCAACCTAATGGTAAAGAAATAAATAGCTGTTACTACTGTAGACTTTGCCCCTTCCCCACAAATCCTTTAATTGAAATGAGTTTAGAAAGGTAAACAAGTCTAAAATAGGCAGATTCCTTCAAGCAAAGCCAAATTAAAAAAAAAAGGAATACAGTAGTTTCCCTTTATCCCCAGTTTTGTTTTTTTGTGATTTCAATTGCCCATAGGCAACTGTGGTTCAAAAATATTAAATGAAAAATTCCAGAAATAAACAATTCATAAGTTTGAATTTGTATCCCATTCAGAGCAGTGTGATAAAATCTCACACCACCCCACTTTATCTCACCTGAAATGTAAATCATTCCTTTCTCTAGTGTATTCACACTGTCTCAGTAGCCATCTGGTTATCAGATGGAATATTCTAGTATAACAACACTTGTGGTCAAGTAACCCTTATTTTATGTAATAAGGGTCTCAAAGTACAAGAGTAGTGATGCTGGCAATTCAGATATGCCAAAAAGAAGTCATAAAGTGCTTCCTTGAAGTGAAAAATGGAAAGATCTTAACAATAAAAAAGACAAAAAAAAATTGTATACTGAAGTTGCTAATATCCATGGTAAGAATGAATCCTATACCTGTAAAATTATGAAGAAGGAAAAACATATTCATTCATGGAATATATAGCATTTAGTACTATTTGTGATGTTAGGCATCTTTGGAAGCCTTAGAACTAACCTCTTGTGGATAAGAGGGAATGACTGTAAGGGAAAGAAGAATCTCTCTGAGTGGAGGACGAGGACAATAGAATGCAATGCACTGTGGCACAAGACCTGTACATCAGAATCAGAGCCTAATCAATGAATACCCACCAACACTATGATCTGTGCTGCTCACAATGCCTATCTAGGATTGCAGAAAAGCTGTAGTCAAAGGACTGTTGATAATCTTTCATATCTCCCTTTCTGATCACGAGACTTCAGCGCAGATATCCAGTCTTTATTTCACTATGTAATATCGGGAATTTGTAGAGGGAAGATAACTTGTCCTTTAGTGCAAAGTTTTTCAGGTTAATAAGAGCCACAGCCAGACTTGTCACTGAAATCACTCATAGCACCCAGAGATTCTATGATTTGAGCTGGATGTAGTGAACGAATGAATTTTTAGGTTGTTTTCCTGAGGCATGACTGAGTGTGTATTATATGTTGTAAGAAAGAAAAAAGGACACAAACAAACACAAAGAGGTGTTTGGCAACAAAAACATAAAGCAAAATTATTGCTCACCCAATAATTCATTTGCCATTGTATATTAATTAGTCCTTTTCCATTTGAGTGTGGTCATAAGACAATTACTGCCAGTAAAATACAATGCTAGAGATTGTATGCTACTCTACAGTTTTATTGGCTCCTAACACAGTGTGTTGTGAAGTCACGTATTGAGATGCTGTTGTTATAATGAATTAGATTCTTCTTCCATCTGAGCCCCTGGGTCACTTCATGGAATAAAGGACCCTCTCAACCACAGGCATATTTCCTAAACTGTACATGCATTTTGAGGGAGAAACTAATGCTTAAGTCTCAAAGAGTTTGGGGATGAGTTTTATCTGGACTAATACATACTTGAGTCATTGAGAAGAAACAAACTGAAAGACAATTACTATTTTATGTTCCTATTCTGTTTTGAAACCAGTCCTTTTCTTTCAAGCATGGACAACTGTAACCATGTACCCCATTTTCCTAAGGAAAAAAAAATAGAATTATTTTCATCTTTTTCCTTTTCTCCATTCCTACTTAACTCTTTAGAAATGCAGTTATAACCTTTACCTCTCTTCACCAGACACTGTGAATTGCAAGCTTATATAACTATGTGTGTGCTTTGAAGTTCCAGGGACCAAACCTTGAAAGAAACCAGGTGTCTCTGGAACTTTCTCCCACAAGATTACTTTGAGTAGTTTACAACCTAACTCTGCCCCAGAAGGTGCCAGCCAGACTGCCTAATAGATAAGAAACTGAAGTGAATCATGAAGACCCCACACTTCCTTACCCCATTCCCTGCATGCCATTCACACCAAGTCCCACTACCTCCTTTTAAGAGGCAAAATCTCCCTGTGTTGCCCAAGCTGGTCTCAAACTCCTGGGCTCAAGCAATCCTCCTGCCTTGGCCTCCCAAAGTGCTAGGATTATAGAACCACCATGCCCAGGCCCAAGACCCTTTTATAAACCGTTGCCTTCTCCCTAGAAATTAGAAGTGATTGCTTTGAATGGGAATCTAGACATTTCTTGATTACTAGGTTTGGTTGATAAAGTCACTCTCTCTCTACCAGACCTTGCTCTTGTTAATTGGACTCTGCAAGTGGTGAGTGGCCAGACCTGAGTTTGGTTACACATGGACAATCAGTGTAGAAGAGCCAGTATCTGAAATCTAATACTAGTATCTGAAAACCATCCAAGATTTAGCAGGGACTGTGAACTAATTAAAATTGTGCATTTGCTTGAGAATGAGAACTACTATCAGAATGATGTCGAGATATGAAAAATGATGGTTGGTGTCTGTTAACTTAAATATCATCGCTTTAGCTAATATGTATATTTCACTGAAAACTGTGGATTATAAATTAACATAAAACACCCTAATAATTTGAAAAATATTGAAAGATAAGGCACTTGAAAAAATCCCATAACCCTAGAAAATATAAATATTTCTACACATTCCCTGCAGTCTTGTTTATAATTTTGTTTTATAAATAATGGTTGTTTTTTATATTTTCATTTTAATAAAATATTTATGCCTATCAGAGTATGTGTATACAATCTTCTATGAAGTATAATGCAATTACATAAATATTATAGTTGTGGTAGGCAAAAGGGTAGCATCCAAATGTTCAGCAATATATACAAGTGTATGCTGAATATCACTAGACTAGAAACAGACCATGTGATTCATATTAATTACTTCGTCATCAAAGTTGAGCACCACAAATTTGTGTGATTATTATAACATATTAAAGTGCTTCCAAAAGACTAAACCTATTCATGTTAGTTATTTATGATGGCACAACTTTTTTAGTTGCGTTATTTGTAAACATCATATTGATATTCACCATAATGTCTCAGCAAGTCCTAATAATGTAAAATTAAATTCTACTTTTTGCTTCCCTATCTGTCTCTATTTGTGTCTTCCTCATTGTCACCTTTTTCCTTTCTTCCTTCTTTCTTTTCTTCCTTCTTTCCACGTTTCCTTTCTTCTATTTCCTTTTTCCTCCCTTTTGTCTTATTTTTTCACGAATACAAACAGCTTTCTATTCTTTCTCCATATATATATAAATAAACAAATAAGATATACTTGCTGCCTTGCTAGTTACTCCTGATCCTAACCATACTCTAATCCTGAATAATATAATAGTAGTCTCTATAAGAAGAAAAGGCCAGACATATTTTTTTTAATGTAACACTCTTAACTATAACAAAGTTCATTAGGGTTTTCTGTTTTATTTTGTTTTGATTTTTCCCTTTGTTGTCTTATCTAGGGTTTCTTCTAAAACAAGGTTTGGGTTCGCAAAGCTTATTCGGGGAAGCAATCACATGTATCAGAAGTGGAGGACTGGGAAGCATGATACAGGCAGGTAGGGTTGGGGGAGCTCTCTATGGGTGAGCTACTACAATTATGGTTACAGTTCTCACTTACCAGGACCCAAGCTTGAGGAGGAACTCCTTAAAAGTTGTAGAGAAAGTGTTCCAGAAGAGTCCACTGAATAATTCTGGTTCTCATCCTCCATCAGTCAAGAATCATTTCTGAGAGTCACAGCACACTCCCATAATATTTACGCATAAAGGCAAAATATATTTAAATATATTTTCTATTAATATTCTTAATGAACTCACGAGAAAATTTTAAATCATGTATATGGCTATGATATAAAATTTTAGCAAGATGAATAGTGTTTTAAGTTAGATAGATTATAGTCAGTTAAAACTTTATTTTTACAAAATATTTCAGAAATATTCCACCTGAAGATGTAAGAGAAATCAGTGCAACATTCCTTTCTTCAATGATTCAAGTGCTTTACTAAAATGACCACAGATTTTTTTTTTCAGAGAGGGAAGCATTTGGAAATCAATTTAAATAAACCTGCTCACAACTTTTAATTGACATATTTATTGGCTTGCAGTTTCACTGCTGATACAGCAAACCAAAATAGACCAGATCATAGATTCAGTGTAAGTCACTCTTATCTCACATTAGCTTAACTAATTCTGTTTGGTTTAATATCAAAATTAGAAACATATAATTGTAATTTTTAATGTTGCATAATAATTAGAATTAGAAGACCAATTGGAGAATTACATTTATTGCATTTTGCCATTCATTAAATAATTCAAACACAGTATGTGTGTACATTTTCCAGGTATTTAAAACAAAGAAAATGTGGAAAAATAATTATTGGAGAAATTGATAACAAAAGGAATGTTTATCAGTTGAATGTGATTGAAAATAGTTATGAAATAGTATGTATAAAATTTATTAAAAACCATGCAATACTATAAAACTCAGCTCAAAAACTATAAGACTCGATTTTCAAATGACTACTACATAATAAGTTATAAATAATGCTCAAACTCACATTATTCACAATAACACAGATGTTTTCCACATGACACTTTCTTTATAGATCCATATGTTTTTTAAGCAGAAAATGTTAAATATCCTGGATTATGAATTTTAAATAATGCCCCCAAACCAGATAAAATTATGTTTATAAAGCAAAACTACAAAATATGGCTCTTGAAGATATTTAAGGATGAGTTTTTTTATTTTCATTTTATTTATTTATTTTTTGAGAAGGAGTCTCGCTTTTTCTCCCAGGCTGGAGTGCAGTGGCATGGTCTTGGTTCACTGCAACCTCTGCCTCCCAGGTTCAAGCAATTCTTCTGCCTCAGCCTCTTGCGTAGCTGAGACTACAGGTGCATGCCACCATGCCTGCCTAATTTTTGAATATTTGGTAGAGACAGGGTTTCACCATGTTGGCCAGGCTGGTCTTGAACTCCTGACCTCAGCCTCCCAAAGTGCTGGGATTACAGGCATGAGCCACTGCGCTTGGCCGAGGATGAGTTTTGTATGGATAAAGGACAGGGTAAAAAGTAATCATGAACACCTAATGTCCATTAAGCTGCTAGAATATTTGTGAAAAGTATTTAATAGGAAAAGAAGCTTGTTTTACATGTATTCAATATATTTTGAATAACATGTTTAACTTATGGAAATATGAAAGAGAGAAAAGTAATAGTTTTTCTTCACATAATGAACACACAGGTATTACTTCCATTTATAGAATCGTAAATTCAAATTCTATTCAAAGGTTTCTTGGAAAGATGCTACATTTAAGCTAAAGGATTTAAAAATAATAAAGAGCCAATACATTTGCATTAAATGTAGTAAAGTAAGATGCAGTTCACCAGCAGAGAGAGGACCTGGGTAGCCTAGGTAGGGGAAACACTAAAAAGTTGACACCCACAGTTACTAATATGATTTATTATCTCCTGGAAGTTTAGCTAATTCATTTTGTAAGAGATTAAAATTTCCATTATCAGCAGTTGACATAATAGTCTACCTTTAAACTTTAGATAAATCAATTGGAAAGCTATTATATCTAAAAATAAGATTCCACTTAAGAGCCAATTTACAAAGTAAAGTACAAAAATCAATATTGATGTGTTATGCACTCTTCAGATACCTGTTTAAATATTATCCTCTAGAAGAAAATTTAAACAAGTTCACACCTTCTATTTTTCCTTCTGTAAGAGTTGAAGAAGGAAGAAAGAAACATGAAGAGCAGCTTAACAGTCAGAGACAGGATTATTTTAAAGAATAAACCTGAGAGGGGCTTCTGGCCAAGTTAGTTCAGGAGCACTCTCTCTTACAGACTAAGAGTATTTAAGGGTTCAGGACAGGAGGGCTTATCACAGGCTCAGAATGTATCTGTGTCTCTTTGTCTTTCTTATCTGGGAGAGAGAGTTTTGTGTCTATATCCACACATCTTCCTACAGCTGCAGGCATAACCCCCAAGTCTGCTTTTAGCTTCCCCATCTTAGTGCACCTAAAGGGAAAAGAATGTGCTTATTTGGGTCCACTGTTTTACTGGGGCCCATTGTATGAGAATGAAGTTTGGTGGTTACCCAAGAGACTTTATTCCTCCTTCCATGCCCGAGCTGTCTTATCTGTGTTATACTGTCTGCTCTTTCAGGCTGCTTGTTGTTAGAAGAGAAGTGATTTCCCAGAAATGCATAAGGGTAGACAGGGAGCTGGAACTTCAAATGGTGATGTTTGTCCAAGATGATGGTGTTCCTGCTCTGTCACGTTCAACATTCTTTATTAGTATGACAATAGTGTAATTATGTATTTAAGGGTTTTATAAAAATTATAAATGTATTACTTCCAACAAAATTTTAAAAAAATTGAAAATGTGACTACGTTTTTTCTTAATTCACTTGGAAGAATAAATCGGTGCACATAGAAATATTTCTATAAAGGAAAGTGAGAAGGAAATATTTACATCACTATCAATTAAATGTATTGCTGCTTAAACTACTCACAATAGTCTGATAGTGGTTCGGGAACAGAAAAAAAACATAGCAAAATATGTCAGTGAGCAAATGAGTTACAAAATAATACCAGCTTTTTGCAAACTCATGGAATTCATAAACAAATGTTTATGCTTATGTTGACTATCTATGCTTAGAGGTTCCGAGAGAGACTTATTTGACTAGGGTAGAAATATGAGCTATTATATATAATTGTACAAATAGCTTGTACTAAGTCTATGGCTTCTCATATAATCATCAAATTTTGTAGTCCATTTTTTTGTGGGGGAGAGTTGGGGGAATAGTCTGAAACTCTTTTAATCTATACCAGCTTTGATTCTTCTTGCTCTTGTAAAGAAATTAAATGAAGAATAGCATATTTTTAAACATATGATTATTAATTAGTTACATAAATGGATGAACACCTTTGCTTTCACTATAAAGTTATAGGTGGCAGCTAGGGAATGATCAGAGAGCTTGAGTTTGTATGTTTAAAGATTATTTCAATCACTATAAGATTTTTTGGCTCATAATTTTTTCTAGGTTAATATTTGTTTTTTCACAATGTAGCTAAAGAGGTAGACTGAAAATTTTTGGTTTTATTCCATCATTAATAACATTATACATCTGGGCTCTAAATTTCTAAATCAGAAAAATTTTAAATAACATTGTATTAGTCTGTATTCATGCTGCTAATAAAGATATATCTGAGACTGGGTAATTTACAAAAGACAGAGGTTTATTGGACTTAGAGTTCCACATGGCTGGGGAGGCCTCACAATCATGGTGGAAGGCAAGGAGGAGCAAGGCACATCTTAAATGGATGGCAGCAGCCAAAAAGAGAGAGATCTCCTTTTTATAAAACCATCAGATCTTATGAGACTTATTCACTATCCCAAGAACAGCACGGGAAAGACTTGCCCCCATGATTGAATTACCTCCCATTCGGTGTCTCTCACAACACATGGGAATTCAAGATGAGACTTGGGTAGGAATACAGTCAAACCATATCAAATGTCATTTGAGATATTTACACTTACATAAACTAATAAAGGTTTGAAACATGTAAGATAAATATAAACTGAAAAATGTCAGTTTTTCTCACCATGAGTCATTTTATGTATTTACATCTCAAATCTTATGTCTTCATAAATATTCTTACCTTTCTGTCTTATTATGAAAGTTTTTTAATTGCCACACTCCTTTGAATTTTATCACAGCTTCAAAGAGCACCTTATTTTTATTTTTAAGCCTTTTACTTCTACTGAGGTGATTAACTGGAGACCTGTAGAATCTTGCTTTAACCAGCATTTTATTTGCAAGTTCTGATATAGATAGATAGGTAAATAGAAAAGACAGATTAAAAACAGATAGGGAAAATGCATGGATTTTATGCATTTTAAAAATTAAGCATATTTAGTGCTTCTAAAGTTTTAGTTTTAGAGCATATCTTATATTTATTTTTGAATGAGGCAATTTGTTTAAATTTTATCAAAAATATTTCTTCACTATCATCAACAATTTATAAGGGATAAATTCGTATCTTATTTCCTCTTCCTAATATAGTAATGCTTATTTTCACATTTTTTGCATTATATTTATAAACAACACATCTATATTTATACAGAATTAATCATTTCAAAGTGCAGATAATGTGGGCAGAATCAAGGATATAAGAATCCTTTTGTAGACAAAGAATAAATTCCTAACCCTCTTCCTACCACAAAAATTATGCATTTAATTCAGTAGCTATTGTGAAGGCATTTGCCTAACAATATAAAAAATAAATAAATATATAATTTTTACTTTATACCATGTATCTGTAGTATATTTATCATGTATTAAATTATAAATGTAAAAAATACCCTTAAAATTATAGTTCAAGTATATTCTAAACCTAAATGCAATTGAGGTAAAACTCAAGACTCAGAAATAAATTTTACTGCATACCATCTTTTCTTTTTGTTTGTAAAAGATAAAATGCTTCTATTTCTCAGGCTTTAGCTTTGAAAATTAAATATTCAAATAAAAAAATAACATTACTCCAATAGATGTCAGTGATAAAAATCATGAAAACAGTTTCTGAAAAGCTTCATAACACATCGAGACGGTTCTTTCCCCCTGTCCAATTCTGACCTAATTCTCAGCTTTTCTTTTTAAGTGCATCGTGACTTAATTGTTTTCAAGTTGCCTCTCAAGCTTTTTTTCCAGCAGAAGCCCCCCAGGAACCTTCTAGGGGTCTAAAAGGTTTTAGGGGACATTTTACTCCCCAAGGTCAGCCGAATGAGACCTCCTTTTCTTTAGGGTATGACAGTCCTTTTCTGGACCTGTCAGCAACTACATACCATCTTTACATTCTGTATATATCATTTGTCACAAATAGAAAAAACAATTAACCAATGATCAAGGGTAAACAAACTATGGCTTGCAAGTCAAATCCAGCCTATAAACTAAGGGTTTGTTTATGCAATGCCCATAATCAAAGAATGGTTTTTATTTGTATATTTTATTTAAAATATATGGAAAAGAGGGAGCATAACTCTTCACTCCTTAACTGTGAGCTATGTATAGAGACTACCTCTAAACAAAATAGTACAGAAAGAAGTTGAAGGGGGAAAGATTAACTTCGTAATGGAGAAACCTGACAAATACTACTTCAGCCAGGTGATCAAGGTCAACATCAACAATTATGAATCCTGTTGATAATAATGTGTATCCTGAATATGATATAATAAAAATGGCACTTTACCTCTTTGATCTTTCACCCTAAAACCCAAATCTCCACTCTAATCATGAGAAAAAAATTAGACAAATTCCACTAGAGGGGCATATTCCCAAATACCTCAATGCTTTCAAAGTGAGAAAAACAAAGGAAGTCTGAGAAGTCATCCTGAATAAATTGAAATATCCAGTAACACCGCATAGAACTTTCTATTTATTTGCTACTTTGGGAAAGGCTAGGGATTGTAGCAGCAAAGTGTTAGAAATGTTTACATATCCCAGGTCTCAGACCTTCTTTCAATAAAGCATTTTTATCATTTACTTTCTTTCCTTTGACACATTTTTTTCTGGCAAATATCCAAAAATTGGTTAGAAGATTAGTCTGTATCATTTATAATGAAAAAATTATTTATTTTCCAAACATTGACAAAGTTTGGCTGAAATAAATACAATAAAAGAATTAAATGGAAATAATGAAAACTAATATTTATTTACAGATTAATATATTTTCAATATCTCTGATGGGGTCATTAAGTCAAGTTTTCACAACTTTGAGGGTATTAATTACATTGATCATCAGCTAAAACTAAATTTAAAAAATATTTGTAATGGACATTTCCCAAAGTTCATCTTTTATTTAGAAAATGTTCTATGGATTTGCTACAACATACTGTAGTAATCTCAAGTACCTATTGATTTTCCACTTATGCACCATACAACTTATGACTATTATTCTCATTGCCGTTGTTTTATTTTTATACCTGCCATCTTCACTTGCTTGTAAGAATATACACATTCCGGGGTTGGGACGCTAGGCCCTGGTGATGTGGGTTTGTGAGCAGGATCTTGAATCTGTGGGTTGTGCAGTTCCATGGAAAAAGCACAGTTTCCCTGGCTGGGTAGCATGCTCACTCACCACCTCCCTTGGGTGGAGGGAGGGGGTTCCCCTGTCCTGTGTGGCTCTCAGGTGAGCCACCAGAAATAAGACATCTATCATTATATGCCTCTAAAATAACTCTTGTTATGAACTCAATTGCCATCACTTTGAGAATTATAATATTATCATATTTATCTTCTCATTTTACAAAGTTTCTTAGTAGCTTATGTCCCAAGTACAAATTTGTATATATTTTCCAGTTTCATTTACTCTTGATTTCTGTGCTGTGCTACTTAAATGTAATTTTCAAGTTGTCTTTATTCCCAACCAGAACTGTGAGAAATAAATTTCTGCTGTTCATAAATTTTCCTCAGGTATTTTGTTGTAGTGGCACAAAGACAGCAAGCAGCCTAATCAATACAATTTAGTAATTATCTATTGACTAGTTACTGTGTAAAGAGATTGTGTTATTGTAAGAAGGCACCATCTAGGTGCCTCGCATGGTGGGAGGGATAAAAAGGGCAAAAGGAGACAAACGCTGTGTCCTCATATGGCAGCCACACCTCTTAATACCACCACATGGAGTTTAAGTTTCAAGTCATGAATTTCGCAGGTTCTAAATTGTATCTTTCAGCTTCTTAGAATCCATTTTATTTACAGAGATGGGGGGAATTTAGCACATGCATTTCATTAAATTTTCTTAGTTTCTTTTGTTATATAGAAGTCTTGCTGAACTATGAATAGAGATTATTTTTTCATGTATAAGTACATTATCTCTACATTCCCCTGTTTTCCATGACATGCATTTGGAGCATTAAGCTCTCTGAAACAACTGCCACAAACTAAAATCTTAGATTAGTGAAAGCTATTTTGTCACTATAAAGCATATCTAAAAGAAATCCAGGAGAATTATAAATTATCTGCCTTATACATATATTAAAATACAGTCATTTTACTTAGACTTCTTGGGCCATATAAATGTCAAGTTAAATAATTCTGAAACTCCCAAAGTTATTTTTAACTCACTTAGTACCAGGCTGTACATAACTGGAAACTATTGGAAACAAAAAATTGAAAAACAGTTGCTTGGAGAAAAAAATGGAGAAATAACAATGTAAAATTCAAAACTATCTTCCTGTTTATATTTATTTTCCCCCTCATTTTTGATATTTCAACATTTTGATCTATTCATGCAAAATCAAGACAAATAAAATTTCATTCCCCTTCAATAAATCTTATTAAGTAAAACTGATACAGTTTCATGCAAGCTCACAGTGAAACACTTGGATATGCATTGATGGTTTGGCATTTCTGATGGAAATTTGTTTTAATAGGTCGCAATAATCCAATTTTCTTTTGACAAGTTACTGCTAAATGTCACTCAGGGATATTTTAAAATATTTTTTTTTCAACTGCAGGAATAAAATTTTAAAGTAAAAAAAAGTGAAAATATATATTATTATGTCAAAACGATTTGTCCTAAGTTTGAGAAAACTGTTGCACAGAGGGGATAAGTAACATGCTTAGTTGCATAGCTAAATAGAAATAGAAATTGAAAAATATTTTTTGATGTGACTACATTTCAACATGTATTACTTTGCAGCGAGTAAGCCATATAAAGAGGAATTTGGTAGTGGAGGTAAGCCTTTTAAATACAGAGAGGTGTTAGGGTTTAGAGAGAATTCATTTTTGTTCCTGAGTCTTATTAAGTCCTAGTATTTTATCAAATGATCCTTTGTATTTATCAATACAAGATTAAAGAAAACTATGATCCTCCAGGGAATGACCCAATGAGCAATAGCATTGAGTTTTTCTATTTAATCATTAGAAAAGTCTCTGAGTTTATTTCCTAAAGAAGTTAAAGTGTCAACATTAAAGGGTGGAGCTGAGGAATATTGCTGTAAATTGTTTTTTGAAAGATTTTAGAGAATTTCCCCAAGACCATTTAATTCCTGGTAGGCTTAGATGATATGTAAGAAGCAGAACTTTGAGCACGACACGGGGGCAGCATTTCAGACCTGAATGCCTTGGAAGTTTACAAAACTGCCTGGATAGACCATGGTGCTTTAGCCTGAGCCCCCTTACCTAAAGAGAGTAGTAGTAAATTCTCATCATCTTGAATGTTGGAATGGTCTGATGAGGTATTCCGTTTTTAGAATAGTGACTGTAGATACGTGTTTTTGATATGTTTTAAAAATGGATAAAAAGATGGTATAATTATGTGACTATAAAAGACTCTGAACAGTTAAAAATGAAGCACATAGTTGAGTTACTACAACGTAAAATACTTCAGCGTTTCCCATGACCTCCTCAGCTGTTTCAAAGGCACTATCTCTCTGTACCATCATGTCTTCCTGCCAACTTCCAAGTTGAGTTAGATCTTATACTGGTCATGGGCTATTTGTATCCAATTTATTTTCATTGGTCAAATTGTTAAACAGATTGTTGCCAGATAGCCCTGTCAAGTACTGTGGGAGAAGCCAGTTGCAGTGATTACCACAGATGCCGCTTTCTAGTGCCAAGCATTATTAGTATTTTTTTGTGTGTGTATATGTTTGTTTGTTTTTGCAATGCAATTATCATTTTATGAAGTCTGTTAAAATACATCTCCATTTTCTCCTGACAGACAGAAACCGGTCTATTCTATAAGTGCCCCACACTGCTGTCTGGAATATGAATAAGGCATTATTTCCATAATGAGATCATAGAATAGATGTTCTATCATTTATTGATCTCCTGTATCCCCTATCTTTCTTATTTATCTGTAAACAAACATTCATAATTTAAATAAAATATTGGTTTTTAGGATTTTCCCTCCTCATTTCTTTATTTTTTAAAAGGATGATATGGTATTATTTTACATCTCTTATTTATATCATTAAAGACAAAATTAGAAATTGTCCATAAATAAGGACACATTACTTATTACTAGGCATGTCAGAAACAGAATCATTGTCAAATGTGTCAGACCATGCTGTGAGTAAAACCATATCAACCAATTATCTGAAGATATTTTCTTATTAAACCTTCAAGAATACAGGATGGAAACTGTGGGGTTCAGAAATAAATCATTTTAAATGACTCTTAAAATTGATAATTAGGAAAAACATAGAAGAAAAAATACTATAAAATTTTAATCGTTATTTTATTGTATGTTACTGTAGAAAAAAATATATTTTAATTAAAATTAAGTGGCAAGGGAGTTTCATAACTTATATTAAAGGGATAAACAGATATATTGGTAAATTATGTTGTTAATTTTTAATAATGCATACTTTAACTTTCTTAAATTATTATTTTGTGGAGTTTAATAGTAATATAGAAAAGACTCTGGTTCAATTAAAATTATGCTTCTTATGTGTTCTCCCACAGATGACTTGTTTTGATAGTCTCATTTAAAAATGTTTACACTTAATTTAGCAACAATAATATCTGAACAAAATATTAGGTATTAAATATTAAATAACTGGGATTGACTCTAACACAATCTGTAAGGAAAATATAATGTCAGGATACACAATTCTCTACATAAGATATTTGTAATTAAGACTTCTGGACTAATAATAAAGGGAAGTTTTTGAGCCCAAAACAATATTATCAAAGAAGAATGTAAATTTGCAAAGCAGTCTTATCTAAAAAGAGTGCAGAAAGTAGAAAAGTTAGGTAGGATGAAATGAATATGTTGGCCATCATTTTATTAAATCTTTCTGTTAAGGAGTATACTGCAATTTATAGATTATTATGAATACACTTGACGATGAACAATATATCAAACTCAGTTATCTTTGGAAGAGAAAGTTGGTAGATGAACAAAAGATAAGACTACAGAAGTTGTGAAACCTAGATTCAATAAACTCAGTAAGATTATAATTACAATCTCTTAAACTAAATGTCTTCATCAATAAAATTGAATCATAGTATCTATTTATAAGAGAAAAGGTAACTAAATATTATCTGTAAAGTGCCACAAAATTTGTACATAATAGACAGCACAAACTTCCTATGTTAACTACTAATCCAACTCTGTGAAACTTTGATACAACAGGCAGGTGCCAGTGTCATTTATGCTTTATGACAGGAATGGAATTATCCTACATAAAAGTTATGTGAATAATAGCAGACTTTTATGAAAAAAGTACCATTTAAATTAATGCAAAAAGCATAAAAATGTAAAATAAATGCATAGCAACGCCAAATTTTGTTTAGTGTATCAGATAGTACTGATATGTAAGAAAGACATTTGAAAATCTCACCATTTTAGATGTCAGTATTACTTTAATTTTAATTATTAGTTGAAGTGTTGCTATGGTACCCCCACACTTCATATGTTTAAACTTAATAACCACTGTGATAGTAGTAACTGTATTAGGAAGTGATTATATTATAAAGGCTGAAGTATCATGAGTGAAGTTAATGACCTAAGTATATTTGTTGCTGAAACAAAATCAAGATTAATAACCTTATAAAAGAGTTGTAAGAAAACACTTCACTTCTTTTTTCCCCTTTTACCACGTGATGATGAATCAAGAAAGCACAGGTTCTTACTGGACACCAAAACTGATGGCCCCTTGACCTTGAACTTCTCCATCTTCAGAACTGTGAGAAATAATTTCACATTATCAACAAATTACCCAGTCTTTGATATTTTGTTATAGCAGCCCAAATGGACTAAGACAGATGCCATTACTGAAATTTTAAATATTGCCTAATTTTAAATACTGGTCAGTTATTTCTAGGTGATTTTCTATAATGTTGTTTAGCTTTCAGGTAAGGTTAGGCCAATTTGATAAACATGATGATATTTTCTTCGCAAAATCAATAAAAATGGGTAGATTTATGCAACAGGAAATAATCCATTCACACCTTTATTCTGATTATTTCCTCTTAAACCTCATTGAATAAATGCTAGTATTTCTTATTCCCCACTCAATACATTTCCTGTAGCTCTATTATTTGAAAAGGTGAATGTCTCTTTGTAAAACTTTCTCTAATAACTTAAATTTCCTACCTGATTTTATGGAATGGGAATTCCATATCATCGGAATCACACCAAAATGAGGGAAAACAACTAAAGAAACCCAAATTTCAAAATATTATACAATAACGTCATCAGTCTCATCACAAAAAGGCAGGAGAGTATGAAAAAGAATTACACAATTCCAGGTAAAAGACCAAAAGAAAATGACACTACCATGATAGAAGGAGGCTGAAACAGTTGGTAGAGAAGCAGATGTGGGTTAGAGCTGAGCTTTCTTCCCAACAACCAATGCCGATTTGCAGGCATTAGTCAAACTGTCAGTCCCTGTCAAGCCTTTAAAAGATTACAGCCCTGGCCAACACTTTGATTTTAGCTTCATGAGAAAACAAGACGCAGATCCATACAATTGGAATTGTTATAAGTTCCTCGTCCACAAACACTAAAAAAGCATGTGAGGGGTGGAGCAACAGGACAAAGAAGGGTTCTCCAGTGATCATCTCCCCAGAAACATTTATTCAAACTATCCACAGATGAAAATACCTTCAGAAGAGCTAGGAAAACCAGTTGAGAAATTATAGTATCTTCTTGTAGCACAATAATAAGAAATAATGTATTGAAGAGAGTAGAAAACTGCTTTGTGTCAGCCATGATACTCCTCCACCAACCTCAGGCACTATAACAAACAGTCTGCTTGAGAAAAAGAGAGGGACATGAACATAAAAAATTGCCATGAACCCCAACATTAGGCTTGCCACAGTATAACCTAGCACCAGGAAGACTCCGTATTTTAGGCCAGTACACATGGACTGAGCCCACAAAGGCAACACATAGGACCATATTGTGTGAGGCTTCAGGCTTACATTGCAATCCCATCTTTGTTCTACACCATTACTTGGCCAGTGTCAGTAATCCCAGGCTCAGGACAGCCCTCAGCAGCAGGCGGGCCTCAGGAGCCCCACAGTTTTGGCAGAGTTTTGCTCCATGGTAGCCACAGGACTTTCCCAGACAAAACCAGTTTGGGAATCCTGAAATAAGTATCTATTTATTCAAATGTGCAGACATTGGCCTGTAAGGCAAGAATTATGAAAAATCAGGGGAAAATGACAGCAGCAAAGGAATAAAAAATAAGGTATTATTTACTGATCCTAAAGGAATGGAGATATATGAGCAGCTGACAGTTAATCAAAGTACTCATTTTAAAGAAGATCACCAAACTTTGGAGAGAAACAAATCAATGAAATGAGGCAAACAATAAGCAGCTAGAAGAAAAGGATTAACAGAAAAAATGAAATAATAATAAGAAAAATAAAACAGAAATTCTGGAGTTGAACAATAAAATCAACAAAGTAAAAATGCAATAGAGAGCATCCACAGGAGGAGAATTAGTCAAGCAGAAGAAGAAATCTGAACTTGACACAGGTTATTTGAAAATATAGAATCAGAAGAGAAAAAATAATGAAAAGAAATGAAAACTGTATAAGATTTTTGGGACAGCATCAAAAGAGAAAACTTTGAAGTCATCAAGTAAAGATGGATAATTAAAAGATGAAAGGATAAAAATTACATCTAAAAAATTGTGGCAGAAAACTTTCTAGATCTGGAAAAAAGTGTAAATATCAAGGTACAGGAATGTCAAAGGTCTCCAACAGAATTCAGTCTAAAAGAAAGACATATTATAATTAAGCTTTCAATTATCAGAGGGGGAAAAAGGAACATAAAACAAGCAATAAATTCATATGAGTTTATATCAGTCATATTGGCATATGATTTCCAATATGACTAGCAGTAGACTTTTTAATGAAACTTTAGTTAGGAGACAATGGAATAAAATATTTATAGTGCTAAAGAAAAAAAATATAATATTCCCAGGAAAGCTGTCCTTAAGAAATAAAGAGGTCACTTCAGCTATAGCATATCACAATTATAAATGCATATGCACATGACATTGGAACACATACATATATAAGGCAAATATTAATAAATTGAAGGAAAGAGATAGACTGCAATCTAATAACAATAGGGGACTTCAACACTCCACTTTCTACAATGGACAGATCAGCCAGACCAAGAAAATCAATAAAGAGACATCAGACTTAAACTCAACTCTAGACCAAATAGACCTAACAAATGTATGCATAATATTAATTGGCACAAAAAGGTTTTTATGTTAAAATAAATTTAAATTATTACTATGTGAGTTAATTTAGATTTGTGAAATAATATATCTATAAACTATATGAGTTTTCCTGTTATTATATATAAGTAAAATATAGCCAAAAGGGAAAGGAAATATTAACTGATGGTTGCTTTTATTTTTATTTTTGCAATGATAATAGAATATTGTCATATTACAAACCCCAGACAACAGAAAAATGTTAAATCTTCTATCAATGTACCTATCAACACAGTTCATCATGAAATGAAATAACATATTATGGGGGATAAAAGTACAAATTCTTTGTATATGATGGTAGATATGTCTCATTTGTCCAATTTTTCATTTTTGACTAGTGATAAATCACCTAATGTCTAGTCTTCAAATCTACATTAAAAAGATATTTTATAAATATGATTGGTGTGATTTTAAAGGTTAATCAGTTTAAACCTCAAGAATAGTGCTTTTCACACATTAACAACTCAAAGATATTAAACTTAATGATTAAAATATATAAAACAGACAATCAGAATGAAGGCAGAGTATAAACTAATTGATATGCCACTTATTAATTCATCTTTATTTTGTTCCATTCATGCACCTATAAAATTATTCATTCAAGTCATTTCTGTTTGTCATATCAATAAGCACAATATGCAGATACCAAGGAGCTGATGAAATAATAAACATATGGATAGCTCAATTTGGCCAAGTGTGGTAGCTCATGTTTGTAACCACAGTACTTTGAGAGGCTGAGGCAATGGGATCGCATGAGCTCAGGAGCTTGAGACCAGCCTGGGCAACACAGTGAGGCCCTTGTCTCTACAAGAAATAAAGAAAATTAACCAAGCCTGGTGATGCATGCCTGTAGTCCCAGACACAGGGAGGATTGAGACGGTAGGATTTCTTGAGCCCAGTAGGCTGAGGCTTCACTAAGCTGTGATCACACCAGTATACTCCAGCCTGGGCAACAGAGCGAGACCCCATCAAAAAACAACAACAACAGGAAAAAAGGCAGGAAGGCAGGAAGGCAGGAAGGGAAGGAGGGAAGGAGGGAAGGAGTGAAGGAGGGAAGGAGAAAGAGGAAGAGAGGAAGGAAGGAAGCAAGGAAGGAAGGAAGGAGTTAATTTGTTACAAGTTAAAATAGACTTGTAAAATATAAGATGTTTTATGTAACCCTAATGGTATCCATAAAACCTATTAGTAGATTCATAAATGATAAAAAGAAAAGAATAGAAACATACCACTACAGAAAAGCATCAAATTAAAAAGACAGGAAGATAGAAAAAAAATGAACAAATACAAAAAGTAAAGGAAAATTTAACAAAATGATAGTAGTAAAGCCTTAACTATCAAAACTTGCTTTGAAAGTAAATAAATTAAATTCCCCAATTAAAAGGCACCTTGTGGCTGCATAGATAAAACAACAAAATCCAACTATATGCTGCCTATGAACGGCCTACTTCATCTTTAAGAAATGCATAGATTGAAAGTGTAAGAAAAAGATATTTCATGCAAATGGAAACTAAACAAGAGCAGGAATGGCTAAAACTATATTGGACAGGATAGTCAAGTGAAAGACAATCCCAAGAAACAAAGAAGGCCATTATATAATGATACAAGGGTCAATTCAAGAGTAAGATGTAACAATTATAAATAAATACCCACCTAACATCAGAGCACCTAAATATGAAATGCAAATATTGACATATTTGAAAGAAAAAATAGACAGCAACACAATAATAATAAGATACTTCAATAACCTTAATCAACAATGGGTAGATTATCCAGAAAGAAATCAAGTGGACTTTCGACTACATGGTGGACCAAATGGACCTAACTGATGTATACAGAACATTCCATCAAAAAGCCACATAATACACATTCTTCTGAGGCACACACAACACATTTTTCAGGATAGATCACAGCTGTTGCTATTATCAACTGTTAACAAGCTTAAGATGAATGAAATTATATAAACTGTTTTTTTTAACAACAATGGTTTGAAACTAGAAATCAATATCAGGAGGAAAACTTAAAATTTTACAAATATGTGAACATTAAAACACTCCTGAATAACCCATAAGCCAAAGAAGAAAGAAAGATAAATATTTCAGATCTTGAAGGAAATGAAAATGGAAACACAACATACCAAAGCCAATTGGATAAAACAAAAGCAGTTCTAAGAGGAAAGTTTGTTGTGATAAATGACTACATAAAAGAGAAGAATGGACTTAAGTAAACAACCTGGTAGCACACCTAGATGAACTAGAAAAAGAAGAACAAATTAAACTGCAAGTTCACAGAAGGAAATAAAAATCAGAGCAGACATAAGTAGAGAAGAGAAAAATTATAGAAAAGGAACAAGTTGGTTTTTTAAAAATAAATAAATTTGACAAGACTTTGACTAGACTAAACAAAAAAAAGACTTAAATATATAAGGTTAAATGACAGTGGAAATGTTATAATGGACATTTCAGAAATGACAAGGATCCTAAAGAAGTATTATAATACACACACACACACACACACACAAATTGGATAACCTAGAGGAAACTGGTAAATCCTTGGTAACATACAACCTAACTATATAGAATTAAAAAGAAAAATAAAGCACAAACAGACTTGTAAGAAATAGATTGATGCAGTCATTAAAATATTCTCCCCCAAAAAACGTCCAGGAGAAGATGGCTTGATGGTTCAATTTTACCAAACATACAAAGAAGTATTAATACTAATCTTTCTTAAACTCTTCCAAAAAATAAAGGGAAGAGGATACTTCAAAATTTATAAGGCCAGCATCCCCAGATACCAAAGCCAGACAAAGAGACCAGAAGAAAAGAAAACCACAGGCTAATAACTTTGATGAACATAGATGTGAACATCCTAAATAAAATATTAACAAGCTGAATTCAATAACATCAAAATATTATACATCATAACCAAATAGGGTTTATCCCAGGGATGAATGGTTGGTTAAATTTAGATAGATGAATCTCTATGATACACCACATTAACAGAATATTTATTTTATACTATAGGTTATGATTCATTATTTCTTAGATTCTTGGCTGAAAATTTTCAAACTTTTGTCACCGGTAACTCTTTCAGCTGTCTTCTATGTTCCTTTGATGTACTTTTATCATTGTATTTGTATGGCAGGGGGCGCGGATTGAACATCAAGTCATGAATCTCAGCCTTGTTATTCGTATTTCCTGCCTCAGTTGTAGCATTAGTCATTTTCCCAAGAGTGCTGATTTATTTAATTGTAGAATCATATTACAAACCAAAATTTGGGCACTAGGTTTGTTCACTGCTAATGTGGTGCTATTACTTTAAAGACTGTCTAGCTAACAGAGCGAACAAATGTTAACACATTATTTTAATGAACATGAATCAGTAATAATGCCACCATATTCATTCATGATATTTGGTCATTTCTGTCTCTTTTATTTTTTCTCATGGTTTGCTTCACTACAGGTTTATCAATTTTTAATTTGTTTTTATTTTTTTAAAATTTTTGTTGTGGATTCAGGGGGTACGTGTGTACGTTTGTTACATGGGTATATTGCATAACATTAGAGTTTGGGCTTCAAGTGAACCTATCACCAAAATAGTCAATATAGGACCCAAAAGGTACTTTTTGAAAGCTTGCCTCCCTCGCTTCCTCCCCCTTTTTGCCATCACCAGTGTCTGTTGTTTCCATCTTTATGTCCATGTGTACCCAACATTTGGCTCCTTCTAATAAGTGAGGACACACAGTATTTGACTTTTCTTTTTCTGCATTAGTTTGCTAAGAATAATGGCCTCCAGTTGCATCCATGCTGCTTCAAAGGACACAATTTCTTTCTCTTCTAAGGCTGCGTAGTGTATTCCATGGTGTATATTCATACACCATTGTATATGTCACATTTATCCAATCCACTGGTGATGGACACCTAGATTGATTCAATGACTTGCAACGTGAGTAGTGCTGTGATAAACACATGAGTACAGATGGCTTTTTGATAAAACAATGTCTATTCCTTTGGCTGGATACCCAGTAGTGGGATTGCTGGGTTAAATGGTAGTTCAATTTTTAGTTCTTTGAAAAATATCTATTCTAATTTCCATAGGGCTTAAACTAATTTACATTCCCAGCAACAGTGTATAGGCATTCCTTTTACTCCACCTCCTCACCAACATCTGTTTTTTGTTTTTGTTGTTGTTGTTTGTTTGTTTTTTTAACTTTTAAAAAATAGTCATCTGGCTGGTGTGAGATTATATGTCACTGTGGTTTTAATAACATTTCTCTGATGATTAGTGATGTTGAGATTTTTCCATGTTTTTTCGGCCACTTGCATGTCTTCTTTTGAGAAGTGTCTGTTCATGTCCTTTGCCCACTTTTTAATGGGATTGTTTGTTTTGCATGTTGGTTTACTGAAGTTCCTTATAAATTGCAGATATGCATTATTTGTTGGATGCATAGTTTGCAAATATTTTCTCTCATTCTGTAGGTTGTGTGTTTACTCTGATGATTGTTTCTTTTGTGTGCTAAAGCTTTTTAGTTTAATTAAGTCCCATTTTCCTGTTCTTGTTTTAATTGTATTTGCTTTTGAGGTCTTAGACATAAATTCTTTGTCTAGGCTAATGTGCAGAATAGTTTTTTTGTTTCTTTTTTAGGTTTTCTTCTAGGATTTTTAGAGTTTCAGGTCTCACATTTAAGTCTTAAATCCATAATGAGTTAATTTTTATATATAATGATAGATAGGAGTCCAGTTTTATTCTTCTGCATATGGCTAGCCTGTTCTCCCAGCACCAATCATTGAATAGGATATTCTTTTACCATTGTTTGTTTTGGTCAACTTTGTCGAAAATCAGTTGGTTATAGGTGTGTGGCTTTATTCCTGGGTTCCCTATTCTGTGCCATTGATCTATGTGTCTATTTTTGTACCAGTGTCATGCTTTTTTGGTTGCTATAACCTTGTAGTATGGTTTGAAGTTGGGTAGTGTGATGCTTTTAGTTTCATTATTTTTGCTTAGAATTGCTTTGGCTATTTGGGCTCTTTTTTGATTTCATATAAATTTTACATTTTTTTCTAATTTCATAAAAAATGACATTGGTAATTTCATAGGAATTGTGTGGAATCTGTAGATTGCTTTGGGCATCATGGTCATTTTAATGATATTGATTCTCACAATCCATTAATATGGAATGTTTTTCATTTGTTTGTGTCATCTATGATTTCTTTTATCAGTGTTTTATACTTATCCTTGTAAAGATCTTTCCCCCTCTTGGTTAAATGTATTCCTAGGTTTTTTTTGTAGCTATTTTACATGGAATTGAATTCTTGATTTGGTTCTCAGCTTGATCATTTGATTATACAGTAATGCTACTGATTTTTGTTTGTTGATTTTGTATCCTGAAAGTTTATAAGGGTTATTTATCAAACCCAGGAATCTTTTGGAGGAATTTTTAGGGTTTTCTATGTATAGGCTCATATCATCCTCAAGCAGAGATAATTTTACTTCCTCTTTTCCTATCTGGATACCTTTTACTTCTTTCTCTCTCCTGATTGTTCTGAATAGGATTTCCAGTACTATGTTGAATAGTAGTGGTGAGAGAGAATATCCTTGTCTTATTCCAGTTCTCAATGGGAATGCTTCCAGCTTTTGCCCATTCAGTGTGATGTTAACTGTGATTTTGTCATGAGTGGCTCTTATTATCCTGAGATATGTTCCTTCAGTACCTAGTTTATTGATAGTTTTTAATATGAAAGGATGTTGAATTTTATCAAAGGTCTTTTCTTCACCTGCTAAGATAATCATATGGTTTTCCTTTTTATTCTGTTTATGTGGTGAATCTCATTTACTGATTTCTTTATGCTGAACCATCTGTGTATCTTAGGAAGAAAACCCACTTGATCATGATAGATTTACTTTTTGATATGTTACTGGCCAGTATTTTGTCTAAAATTTTTGGGTCTATGTCCATCAGGGATATTGGCTTATCATTTTCTTTATTTGCTGTGGCCTTGCCAGATTATAGTATCAGGATAATATTGGTTTCATAGAACCAGTTAGGGAGAAATACTTCTTCCTCCATTGTTTTGGAATAGTTTCAGTAAGATTTATACTATCTCTTCTGTGCATATCTGGTAAAATTCAGCTGTGAATCCATCTGCTCAAGGGTTTACTATTATTATTATTGGTAGTTGTTTCTTCTTTTTTTTTACTTATTCAATTTCATAACTGGTTACTGGTCTGTTTAGGTTTTCCATTTCTTTCTGGTTCAGTCTTGGGGGTTTGTATGTTTCCAGGAATTTATCTTTTTTTTTTTTAGTTTTTTCTAGTTTGTGCACATAGAGCTAACCACAGTAGTCTCCGAAGATCTTTTGTATTTCTGTGGCAACAGTTATAATGTCACCTTTGTCATTTCTAGTTTTTCTTATTTGAATCTTCTCTCTTTCTTTCTTGGTTTATCTGGCTAGCACTGTATCAATTCTGTGTCCCTTCGAGAAAGCAACTTCTTGTTTCATTGATCCTTTGTATAGTTTTTTATTATCTCAATTACATTTAGTTCTGCTGTAATCCTTGCTACCTCTTTTCTTCTTCTAGCTTATATTTGGTTTGTTCTTGTTTTTCTAGTTCCTTGAAATGTGATATTAGGTTGTAAATGTGATGTCTTTCTATCTTCTTGATGCAGACATTTAGTGCTGTAAACTTTTCTCTTCACACTGCTTTTCTTGTATCCAAAGATTTTGGTATGTTTTCCCTCTATTTTCATTTGTTTCAAAAAATTGATTTGTAAAATTTGTCGCTTACCTAAAAGTCATTTAGGACCAAGTTGTTTAGTGTCCACGATTTATGTGGTTTCAAAAGTTTATCTTGATATTGATTTCTAATTTCATTCATGGTGGTCTGAGAAGATGCTTGATATAATGTTGATTTTTTGAAAAATTATTGAGACTTGCATTATGACTAAACCTGGTCAGCTTTAAAGAATGTTCTATGCACAGATGAGAAAAAAATGTACATTCTATGGTTGTTGAATGGAGTATAGATGTATAGATGGCTATTAGGCTCTTTGGTCAAGAGTCCAGTTTAAATCTAAAGTTTCTTTACTGTTTTCCTGTCTCAATAATCTGTCTGGTACTGTCAGTGGGGTGTTGAAGTCCCCTACTATTATTGTATGGCTGTCTATCTCTTGGTACTTTTATTGGGTCTAGAAGTATTTGTTTTATAAATATCTGCATGCTGTGGTATTGGATGCATATATATTTAGGACAGTTAAATTTTCTTGTTAAATTGAACTCTTTATCATTATGTAAGGCCTTTCTTTGTATTTTTATACTGGTGTTAGTTTAATATCTATTTTATCTCATACAGGAATAGCAACCCCTGCTCATTTTGGCTTTCTCTTTATTTGATAGATATTTCTCCATTCCTTTACTTTGAGCCTATGGGAGTCTTTACACATGAGATGGTTCTCTTTAAGGCAGGAGAATTTTGGGTCTTGTTTTTTTGTTTGTTTGTTTGTTTTGTTCTTGTAATCCAATTTGGCACTCTATGTCTTTTATGTAGAAAATTTAGGCCATTTATGTTCAAAGTTAATATTGACATGTTGGTGAATATTTTGACCAACAAAATGTGTGTTTTTATTCCTGTCATAGTGATATTAGCTGCTTGCTTTGAAGTTTCAATTGTGTAATTGCTTTATAGGATCTGTGAGCTTTGTACTTACATGTGCTTTTATGGTAGCAAGTATAGTTCTACTGTTTCCATGTTTAGAACTCCTTTGAGTATTTCTTATAGGACTTGTCTGGTAATGGCAAATTCCCCTAGTGTTTGCTTGACTTGGAAAGATTTTGTTTCTTCCTCATTTATGAAACCTATTTTATCAGGATGTGGAATTCTTTGCTGGACTACTTTTTCTTAAATAAGGCTAAAAATAGGCCCCCAAACTCTTTTGGATTGTAAGGTTTCTAATGAGAAATCTTCAGTTAATTTGCTGTGATTTTCTTTATAGGTGATTTGGCTCTTTTCTCCAGTTGCCTTTAAAGGTTTTTGTTGTTGTTGTTATTTGTTAATTTTTTTACACTGATTTTGGATAGTCTGATGACTATATGCCCTGACTATGGTCATCCTGTATAGTATCTCAAAAGTCTTTTTGGAATTTCTCATATCTGGATATTGACCACTCTAGCAAGACTAGGGAAATTTTCCTGAATTATTCTCTCAATTATAGTTCCCAAATTTCTTACTTTTTTTCTTCTCTCAGGACTGCCAATAAATTATAGGTTTGGTCAGAGTATGTAATCCCTTATTTCTCAAAAGTTGTGTTTGTTTTTAAATATTCTTTATTTCTGTCTGATGGGATTAAGTCAAAAGACCAGTCTTCAGGTTCTAAAATTATTTCTTCTGCTTTGTGGAGTTTATTATTAAAGCTTCCAACTATATTTTGGAATTTAGTTAGTAAATTTTTCAATTCCAGAAGTTCTACTTTTTTAATATAGCTATCTTGTATTTTTTATTCTGAATCATTTATCTGGTTTTCTTGTGTTGGATTTCAACTTTCCCTTGGATCTCATTGAGTTTTCTTGCAATCCATAGTTTGAATTATTTCTTTGTCATTTTAGACTTTTCAATTGAGATCCATTGCTAGAGAGCTAGTGTAATGCTTTGAAGGTGTGAAGACACTCTGGCTTTTTGTATTGCTGGAGTTCTTGTGGTGATTCCTCATTTGAGGGAGAAGTCACTTCTTTTTTTTTTCTTAATTGCAATTTAATTTGCTAACATTTCTATGAGACTTCTTAATTTTTATTTATTTTTATTTTTATTTTGAGATGTAGTCTCATTCTGTCGCTCAGACTGGAGTGCAGTGGCACGATCTCGGCTCACTGCAACTTCCGCCTCCTGGGTTCAAGCGATTTTTCTGCCTCAGCCTCCTGAATAGCTGGGATTGCAAGTGCCTGCCACCATTCCTCGCTAATTTTTGTACCTTTAGTATAGATAGGGTTTCACCATGTTGTCCAGGCTGTTCTCAAACTCCTGACCTCGGGTGATCGACCCACCTCAGCCTCCCAAAGTGCTGGGATTACAGGCATGAGTCACTGCGCCCAGCCTAGGACTTCTTAATTTTTTAATGCTTTTCTACCTTGGGGGTATGACTGTGGTTTATATTGTGTATGATTGTTTGACTTTGCTTCTGGGTGCTTTCAGGAGGTCATCCTCTGTATGGTTTCCTTGATTGTAGATAGCTATGGTATGGTGGCTTCATCAGATGTTGTTTTAGTGATATATTAGCCTGCAGAGCTCAGAGCTGAGAATACAGAGGTCTCAGGAAGCTTATCTTGTAGACTGGCACTAACCCCTTTCTGGTAGCAGGTTTGTAATTTGGTGGTGCAGTTCATCCTGCAGTCCAGTAGACAGTGCTCAAGAGCTAAGAGCTGGCTCACCTTCAGGTAGGCTGATATCCAGTGGAAACCCCCATCCTGATGGAGGGGCTGTGAAGAGATTGTGTTGGGGTGTACTGAAATTTTAGGGAAACACAGGGTGTGCCAACTTCTCATCCTGAGCTTGCAGGAATGTGATCAGCTTTGCTGTCACACCTCTGATGTAGGACTCATGACCTTCAGTTCATACTTTGTCCTTTGGTTCCTAGTTGCAGTGCAGCTGCAGGCTGTGGATATGCTTCTCTGATGGTTACCACCAAAATGGGCTTGGGGCACGGCTTCTTCCCCCAGTCCAGAGCAGGCAACTCTGTGACTTGTCCACATTCTGTTGCTGGGAAACTGACACTCTGTGTAGTGAGAGGCAGTTGGGTCCCATCCTTTGTGTAAGACCAAGCAGTGTGAAAAACTTTTTGGTCATGATAGAGCTATTGCAAAAAGCCCAAAATACACTTTCTCAAAGTGCACACACACTGGTCCCCAGTTGGAAGAACCACCGCTGTGTCTGCAATACTGTGCAGGGGGTGGGAGAGAATCCCCTCTTCTTATATCTTTTGGGGTGCCAGTGTTGACACCTTAAGAGACTGGCACCATGCCCACATTTTCTTTGTCCTGAGGGGAGCTTTGGTGGACTGTGCCCCTCTCTTCCTTAGGGGTAGCCCACACCGAGTGTTAAATCTCCAGGTGTCCCATAGCTCTCTGAGGACCCATCAGTGCCCTGTGCTTGCCAAAGTCAGAGTGGGTTGTGGGGTGTGTTTGCAGGGGATCTAGTGGTGTGGTAACTCAAGGGGTAACTCAAGGGCAAAGAATCCTCAGAAAGGGCAATGACCCATAATGGCTGCACAACTAGTATGACACCTGTCAAATCTGTTTGGGTCTGAGCGGAGTGAGGGTAATCTGTGTGAGCTGGTCCCCCAGTTCTCTGTCCCTGAGAATTTCCTGAATCATCACAAATAGCATTGCCCTGAATCATGAGGGCAGAGGGGCTCCCCAACAGTTTGGCAGTCATTAGATTGTCAGAGAGGTGAGAGGAGCAGAGAAGCACTCCCATCTACCGTTTCTGTGGTATTTGAGTTTCTCAGGGGTTAATTTCTGCAGGACTATTGCTGCTTTCCTTTTCTGCACCCCAGTTTCTTCCCATGGATGCTCCAATAGGCCCTGACTCTCTTCTTTCAGTTTTCCATTCAGAACTAATATATTCACCAGTAACTCTGATCTTCCTTCTGAGGTGAACTGGCCTCTGATATCTTTAATCAACCATCAACCTCTTCTGGCACTCTCCTGTGGCTCACTCAACTTCTGCCATACTGGCCTGCTTGCTGCTTCTCTAATTTATTGATCTGTTTTTACATTACATTTATTTCTGATTCAATTTTATTTGATTATTTTTCTTCATTTAGGGGTTAAATTGCTCTCCTCCCTCCAGTTTCCTAAGTTGTAAGCATAGATTATTGATTTTTAATATACATTTTTAAACCTAAGTATTTTTCTCTAAGCACAACTTCTATTGCAATTCAAAAAATTTGATAAATTATATATTCATTTATTTTAAAATATTTTTCAATTTCTACTGAGACATTTTTTGACGTGTTATTTAGAAGTGTTTTGTTTAATTGTTAAATATTTTAAGATTTTGCAGCTATGTTTCTATTATTGCTTTCTAGTTTAACAACATTATTATCTGATAATATGAGTTGTATAATTCTACTTTTTACTTCATCTAACTGTGTCTTATGGCCCAGAATGTGTCTCTTTTGGTTGAAGTTTCATGTGAGCTGAAAAAGAATATATATCCTGATATTAGAAAAAGTATTATATAAATGTCATTTATCAAGTTAGTAGTGCTGTTCAGGTTAGGTATATCCATATTGATTTCTGTCTGCTGGATGAGTAAGTTACTAATGGAAGGATGTTGAAGTGAAATAGTAGATTCGTTCCCAATATCTGCCACGTATTCACTTAATTTTAAAAATTTTAGTGTTTTATATGGTGTTATTATAATTGTTGACCTATACGGCCATGGAAAATTTTTAAAAATTCAATATTAACTAGAGAACATTGTTTATTTATAATGCTTTTGCATTTATTCTAACATATATCAATCATTTACAATGTCTGCAACATTTGTCTCCCAAGCATTCATACGTTTTTATAATCCATAGTTGGATTGTTTTATAATAATCTTCATTCCATCACGGAATTTCCTAATCACTTTTTTTTTAACTTGCATACATTAAACTTCACTTTTGTGCTATAAAATCCATGAGTTTTGACAAAGGCATAATGTCATGTATCCACCATTACCACATCACACAGGATAGTTTCACCTCTCTAAATTATCTCCTGTGCTTTAACTATTCAAGGTTCTCCCAGGCTCCCTGCATTAGTTTGCTAGTTGACATAATAAAATATCACAGACTGAGTGGCTTCAACAACCAAAATTTGCTTTCTCACAGTTTTGGAGGAAAAAAGTTTATAATCATGGTTTCAGCAGCTTTGCTTCCCTCTTGGGATTTTTCTTGGCTTGCAGTTGGTCATTCATTTACTGCCTCTTCACATGGTGGTCCCTCTGAGCACACACATCCTGATGCCTCTATCTATGTCCTAATATCCCCTTCAGATAAGGACACCAGTCTGATTGGAATAGAGCCCATCTCTAAATTATTTAATAACTCTAGTTGCCTAATAACTTAATTACTCTTTAAAGGCTCTGTCTTAAATATAGTCACATTCTGACGTCCTGTGGATTTAAGTCTTCAACATATGAATTGTAGGGAATATCAGTCAGCCCATAACACCCTCAAACTCAGGGTAACCACTGACCTTTTTATCTTTACTACAGGTTTACCTCTTCCAGAATGTTCTATAATTGGAATCATAAATAGGTAGCTTATACAGATTGCTTTTTTTTTCTTTTTTACTTAACAATAAGAGTTTAAAATTCATTTACAGCTTCTTATTATTTTAGCAATAGTTTTTTTTTTTTGGTATTGGTGAATAATACTTAATTGTATGGCTGTGTCTCAGCTTGTTAATCTAATCACCTATTCAAGGTTGCTTCTAGTTTTTGATGAATATGAATAAAAATGTGTGATTGTTTGGTGTAAACTTCCTTTCTGATATCTATAACTTAATGAAATTATCATGCTGTATGTACAAGAAAAACAATTACTTAATTTTGCAAGCAAAGTATCTATATAGAGTACATGATGATGTAGCATGCACTTTGTTAAATAATGACTATTTTTGTCATTAGTGAACAATACCTGTTTTTCCTCTTAACGCTGAGCAGTGAGCAGTAGTTGATTTATTCCCAAGCATTATTTTCCAATTTAAAAAAATGATTTTAAAGTGAACTCATAACTTTCTTTACTTTTATATTCAGTGAAGAGAAAATCTTCTTTGAAATTAATTTCTCTTGATACTACAAAACACGGCTTTTCGTTTTTTTTGTTTTTCTTTTTTTTTATTTTATTATTATTATACTTTAAGTTTTAGGGTACATGTGCACAGTGTGCAGGTTAGTTACACATGTATACACGTGCCATGCTGGTGTGCTGCACCCATTAACTCGTCATTTAGCTTTAGGTATATCTCCTAAAGCTATCCCTCCCCCCTCCCCCCACCCCACAACAGTCCCCAGACTGTGATGTTCCCCTTCCTGTGTCCATGTGTTCTCATTGTTCAATTCCCACCTATGAGTGAGAATATGTGGTGTTTGGTTTTTTGTTCTTGCGATAGTTTACTGAGAATGATGATTTCCAATTTCATCCATGTCCCTACAAAGGACATGAACTCCTCATTTTTTATGACTGCATAGTATTCCATGGTGTATATGTGCCACATTTTCTTAATCCAGTCTATCATTGTTGGACATTTGGGTTGGTTCCAAGTCTTTGCTATTGTGAATAGTGCCACAATAAATATACGTGTGCATGTGTCTTTATAGCAGCATGATTTATAGTCCTTTGGGTATATACCCAGTAATGGGATGGCTGGGTCAAATGGTATTTCTAGTTCTAGATCCCTGAGGAATCGCCACACTGACTTCCACAATGGTTGAACTACTTTAAAGTTCATATGGCACCAAAAAAGAGCCCGCATTGCCAAGTCAATCCTAAGCCAAAAGAACAAAGCTGGAGGCATCATGCTACCTGACTTCAAACTATACTACAAGGCTACAGTAACCAAAATAGCTGGTACTGATACCAAAACGGAGATATAGATCAATGGAACAGAACAGAGCCCTCAGAAATAACGCCGCATATCTACAACTATCTGATCTTTGACAAACCTGAGAAAAACAAGCAATGGGGAAAGGATTCCCTATTTAATAAATGGTGCTGGGAAAACTGGCTGGCCATATGTAGAAAGCTGAAACTGGATCCCTTCCTTACACCTTATACAAAAATTAATTCAAGATGGATTAAAGACTTAAACGTTAGACCTAAAACCATAGAAACCCTAGAAGAAAACCTAGGCATTACCACTCAGGACATAGGCATGGGCAAGGACTTCGTGTCTAAAACACCAAAAGCAATGGCAACAAAAGCCAAAATTGACAAATGGGACCTAATTAAACTAAAGAGCTTCTGCACAGCAAAAGAAACTACCATCAGAGTGAACAGGCAACCTACAAAATGGGAGAAAATTTTCGCAACCTACTCATCTGACAAAGGGCTAATATCCAGAATCTACAAAGAACTCAAACAAATTTACAAGAAAAAAACAACCCCATCAAAAAGTGGGTAAAGGACATGAACAGACACTTCTCAAAAGAAGACATTTATGCAGCCAAAAAACACATGAAGAAATGCTCACCATCACTGGCTATCAGAGAAATGCAAATCAAAACCACAATGAGATACCATCTCACACCAGTTAGAATGGCAATCATTAAAAAGTCAGGAAACAACAGGTGCTGGAGAGGTTGTGGAGAAATAGGAACACTTTTACACTGTTGGTGGGACTGAAAACACGGCTTTTCGAAAATTTTCTAATATAGTGTTTTTGGGAGTCTGTTGCTATGTTCTTCCATCTTAGGTCCATTATTTCCTCCCACAACACTGCTGTTATATCAGAGCTACTTTTCCTGGTTTGATCCTCTAATTCCTGTATTCAATGTACTAACTTTCATAGTTAATTCCCACATTTTAATCTGTTCAAGTGACATTCCTGTGGGAACACAATTATTGTCCAGAAATATCTATATTAAATTTTACAAACAATTAATAACTTGGTCGAATACATGATTCTAAATTCAAAATGAAATTGTCTATCTAAACTTTAAGGTATTGCTTCATTGCAGTTTAAAAGCCTAAGCCCAAAGTTAATATCATGTTTAATAATTTTTAAGTTACATCTTTTTCTTTCTGGAAAATGTTTTCATGACATTAAATTTCACAAAGATATAGACTTCTATGAATGTGTGCTCAGTTTATCTATGTGTGCATTTAAAAAAATTTATTTTTTGCTGCTTGAGCCGTTTGATCTCAGGAAAAAAATAACCTCACGACAATAACACAGAAGATTGTCGGTTTGTTTTATTTTATTTTATTTTATTTCACTTTATTTTATTTTAAGATTTTCCAGGTAGATTTGGCTTTCTTACTCAACCATATGTGTTATCTTAGTATATTTTGTTTCTTATAGCAAGGATAATATCTTCCATTTTGTTAGCACTTTCATAAATTTCCAAAAGCTGTAGATGAAACTCTCATGCTGTCAAACATTCACATCTAAAACTAGCCTAAGCAACAAAATAGATATGCCTCAATAACTTCTCATCTTTAACTATTCACTGCTCCTATCAAATTATAATTTAAAAACTATGTGCAATAAATATCTACTGAAATTATTTTAACTGTTTTTTACCTTTAGGGCTTTTATAATGAAGACATATAACTCACAAATGATTAAAATGTATCAAATATCATATAATTTGTGTGGTTTAATATATAAAATGCACAGGTAGTATTATTTACATTATACCTTATGACCCAACTTATAATGTGTGTTGGTTTTGTGTATGCATAAAATCATTATAATTATACTATTTAATAAATTTTTTGAAGAGTACAACCATTAATTTTAATATATTTGGACATTTTGTTTGTGAATAAAATTTTAATAAACGTGAGATGATGAGAATGAGAATTTTAGGAAAATGGAATTTACTTATTAAGTTGTAAGAATAGCATTAATTGTGACCTAACATATGTCCATTAATAATGTATATAACATGGTATATAAAGTATATCATTTAGAGTCAGAAATATGCCAAATAGTTTACAAAGACTGGATTATGCATCTAATATGCTTTGCAATAATAATGATTAAATGTTGCTAAGTGCATTTGGTAGATATTTCATTTTATGTATTAAAACATATTAGTCCTATCATTTAAATCATGACTAGAAATCACTTTGAGACACTTTATTTTCTTTTCTCTTATATTGAACCATTTCTCTACTTCATTTTCCATCATCAATTTTCATTCACTGAGAACTCTCCATCTTTGTTCTTTATTGTTGCAGGAAATGTATATGGTAGGTGAATAAACTGAAAATGGCTCTATGGTATTCCGATCAACATTTTCAGATTCCATCAGCGATAGAAGATGCAAGTATGTCTAAATGGTAAATTGGTTTTCAAAAATCTGAAAAAGGTTAACTTAAAAGATGTTTCTACAAGTTCGAAAACAAAACAAAATAATTCTCTGAGTCCCAGAGCAGACAGGACTACTTGCATTATTTGGTAGCACCCATGTGAAGTGACAAAGCTCTATAATAAAGATGGTATTATTATTCTACAAGGTAAAACAATTCCAATTCAGATTTTCCAAGTATAATAAAAAAAATTTCAGTGTTTCATACATGTTATAAAATCAGTAGAACTTTGCCATAACTGAAGCAGACAGAAATAAAGAAGCAATATTTCCCACCTCACCAAGCCCTACCGAAGCTTTCACACTTTAAAGGCGTAGATCCTTACTTTACACTGCTGTCTCAAAAGCCACATCTTCGAATGCTCTCTGCAATGGGATAAGTGAATTGCATGTTTCAAACTGACATTACTTAGAGTAATTCATTTCATATAGGATAACTCTAGCAGCATTATTTTTGCAAAATACAAATTCAAGTAATTTTTTTTCAACTAAATTCATTGGAAAAAGCACAGGTAGCCTTTGGAATCAGAAGACATCATCTCAAATCTTGCCTCCATTGCTATTAACATCAGTGCCTTATACAAATGATTTATCACCTCATAATAAGTTTCACTACTCATAAAAATTATGATAAGGATTCCAAAGTCTTTTATCTGCTTTAAGAATCAACTAATTTAATGAATAGTGTATAAATTGTATTGAGTTATTATAATCAGGAAGCTATATAAAATCGTAGAAAATTTCAATAGCCAGTGTTATGAGAGAAATTTTTCTTTGAAGTCACTAGTAAAAGAAAACTATGTTCATAGATGTAAATTATTTACTAAAAATATTTAATTACTAATATGGTATATTATTTAAGTTTAAATCTTTACAGTATTTATCTAAATATACTTGCAAAATTAAATTAACAGTAATTAGTAAAATTGCAAAATGTCTGTTCACTTTTCACAAAAAATTTAAACATCTTTGATAGTTAAACCCCAAGGCTACAGTATAATACAAAAACATTTTACATTAGTTTGTGAATTCACTTAACTATAATACTGTGTATATTAGCATTGAATATCTTAAAGTTAAAAGAAATCAGATTATTATAAGTAATATTTTAAGAAATATATCTTGACCTACATCTTTGGTGGACATATCTAAATGTAAGGGTATTACAATCAAATATTTTAATAAATATTTTACAATAATGCAATTAAATAAAAATTTACAAAAAATAGTTAATTGAACAAGCAATAATTTAAGAATATAGCTATCATATGCTGCATAATATACTTTATACAACATCAGAAGTATATCCTAAACAAAAGTTTTCTTGAGTCATCAATATTATTTGTCTCTGAAACAGAACTTTTTCTTTTTAATTCAGCACTCGGCAGTACTGTGAACATATTGATCTGTAATCAACTGCTGACACAGTTATTTGGCTTAAGCTGTATGTTTACTGAACTGCAAACACAGCATTATGACAGGCATATATAAAACAGTTTTCTACAACACACAAAAGCTCATTGCAAACACTTTATCTAAGTGACAATTTTATCGCAGCTTTTTTTTTCTTCAGTTTGTTCTGGAAAGAGTATCACCATAAAAATTACATATTGCTATGAAGCATCCCCTAAAACAAAATTGACTTTGTATTTCCTCATTTATAATAAGGATTTTAATAAATGTTAAATGCCTATGAAAACACTTATTTAATATAGCTGGATTGTAGAGGGTTAGCATTTGGAGTATTAATTTATCAGCAATATCTAAAAATGCTAGGGCAACTTTTTATAGATTAGGGATTTATTAGTTTAATAAATATTGTAAAGAATGTTAAAAGTATTGCAATTAAAATACTTTATGATGCATTTGATACATGAAGCTAAATAGTCTTCAATATTTTAGCATGCTACTAAGGAAATATAATAAAAATCATTAAGATGTATAATTTCATAGTTTTAAGACATTTTTCCTTTCTTACTCAACATCTTACTCATAATGTGGTTGTTTTCTAAGGCTTACAACTAGAAAGCTAAAAAACACATACCTATCATGTGCCTAGCAAATACTATGCTTGGTGCTTACGACTTAAAAAATATGAAGAGAACTTTCATATAACTAGAGTATGATGACTGCTATGATGAATATATGCAGAAGAGACAATATTGGTATAAATAAGATATAACTGGTTTTACTTTTCTTTTGATCACAAAAAGCTTCCAAGAAAAGAAGATGTAGATTTTGCATTTTACTTTGACTACTATTTGCGGGATTCAGAAAGATACATACCATAATGTAAGCAAACAATGTATGCAATTACTTAATAAATGACATATTAATTTTACAGTTTCTTGGTTTTGTCTTTTACTATCAACTGTGTTTGCAACTCAAACAAATATGCTGTTGTAAAATGTCCTATAATGTAATTATATATATTATAATAAGACTATTGCTAGACTTTGTTCTATGAAAGTATTTCCTGCAGAAATGACACTATGTACTGCTTAGTTTTTAGCATGTGATGAATGAGAAGTATAAAAATTCTTCCAGTAAAAAACACTGAATATTGGATGTTTACATATCTAAAAATCCTGACCAGTTGACAAGGATATATGGGAACTTCTCAGAAACCAGAAGCAAAAATTAATCACAAGTTCAGAGATATGAGTGGTCACCAAACCTGGGGTAACTACAGATCCCTATTGTCCTTGAAACTTCACTGTTTGTACTACATAGATGGCACGGAAAGTGGCACATAGGGTAACAGACAAAGACTAATATTCAAGTAAATGGCACACAATTCAACCATTCTAAAGGTTAGCATATTCCACGGATAAATGAGGAAAGAAAAATACTCCACCAGAGGTCCACGTGAAAGGAGGAAAAGAAAAAATAAAAACGTCTTTGTACATTGCTAATTATAAACTTATATTTGCATTACTTGAGTGACTGACTTAAAGTTTTCAAGCTAAAGTTGTAGTTTAAGTGGATTTTCAATTTATATTTACTACCTGTAATTTGCAACGATAAACGCAAGTAATTTTTTGATATATAATATATTCCCAGGCTTTTCTCAGGCAGTACCAAATAACACATTACATAATTTTTTAAAATTAAAAAAAAACTTAAAATCTGCTATGTTAAGAAATCACAACACTTAGAGCAGAATCGACCTGCCAAATACTACAGATGATGAAATGATTTTTGATACTGCATATAAAACACAAATATACAATATGTTCAAAAATGAAAGAGAACATCAGAAATATGATAATACAGCACACTATAAAAAAACAAGCCAAATGTTTCACAATATCAAATATATTTCTAGACATAAAATACATAAGAAAGAGAATTAGCCCCTAAGTATATGAGATAAACTGGAGATTCACTGCAAATGGAAATAAAATTTGTAAACCTGACAATAAAACAAGAAATCAAACATAATGATGCAAAATGTGAAAAAGAAACTATTAAAAAGTGAGTAGAAATCTCAGAGATTAGAGAAAGAGGATTTAAATATCTAATCAGATATTTGGAAGGAGTAAAGAGAGAGAAGTGTGACGAGGTGGTATTCAAAAATATAATAGGGTAAGTATATTTTAAGAACTGTTGAAAAACACAAATCAGGAAGCCCAAATAATTCCAAGTAGAATACACTAAAGAAACAATACTCCTAAATCTAATAAATATTAGAAGATAATATAAATGCAATAAATTATGCTAATGGTAGTATAATGTAGATAATTTACAACTGAAAGTGTATCTCATAGGAGAATTTATGAAGGAAAGTTATGTACAATTCTTGCTCACCCTCATCAAAATATATTATTGAAATTCATAGGATGTCTGAATAAGGCAGTCTTCTCATATCCAAACTATTTGGAAAAGGGATGTAGTGCAAATCTACTCTTCATCTTGTTTAATATGGCATGCAAAATGAGAACCTTTATTATTACCTGTAACAATTCAAGTTGTTAATTTAAAACATTATAAGATACATAGAGGGGAAGTGGCAATAAGAAAATTTCAATTAATAAATCAACTGGAACTAATTATAAGAAATCTCTTGGAAAAGCCTATAACTGTCACCCTCAGTCCACTGCTGGGATTTTGACACAGCTTCAAGGAACACAAAGTTTGAAAGGAATTTATTGACTTCTTGTTGAGTTTGCATTTAAACTTCTATTACAGAAGAATATTACACTGTATTAAGAGTTGAAATAACCCTCATATATTGGTTTGTGACAAATTCTGGTCCCACACAGAAGAAGATGTAAAGATTTCTCTCATTTAGTAGAAATTATATATTCAAGAATTTATGACTTCGATGACTACTGGAGCATCAGGAACTATATGAATTGGTGGCTGCCCTGGCTTTTGCCTAGGTCTATGTTAGATTCCTGTAAGAATTTACTTAACTACATAGCCAAAGGGCTCCTTCCCATGACCAGTTCTTGGAAGATATCAAATAGCATAGTTTATCAATGGTAGATCAAAGATAACTGACGTTCAGTCCGAAGAACAATGCTTTGCATCTAGGTGATGGTTGCTCTTGAGGAAAAGATACATTCGCACAATGAGCGTAATTAAAATTACAGTGTCTTGAGGTATGAGAGGAACTAGAAAATAACATAACATAATGGTATGGGTTTTTAATTATTCTTGTACAGTAATCACTAAATTAACTACATATTCTGGAAAATGTGGCTTAGATAACTAAAAGATAAAATGTGATACATAACTTTACGGAATTGGAGAGAGAGCATCAAATACGTCATGTCTATGGCCATTAAATATACTTTTAAACTCAGGAAGGGGACAGGTAACAACAAATGGATGACTTCCTGAACTATTTGGAAGTTGTCCCACAGGCACACAAGACTAACAACTATGTAGGCATTCAATAAATGCACTCATGGGTAGAAAAATAAAATGTATTTCACAATTTCTGTCAGAGGCTCACAATATTACTAACAACTGTTCTGTTTACTAATAAGACCATTAAAGGCTAAAAGCAAAGGATCTTGTGTGTTACACAAGGCCCTGGGCTCATTTGAATTTAGATTAGTATATTGGCTTACAGAAGCAAAAACTTTAACCCTATTAGAGGTCTAGAGAAGAAATATTATTTTCATTTGGACTTTGTGCTTATATGTAATTTGATCAAGGAATCATTTAACTGCAAGTGGTAAAGCAATGGGCTAAGAATCATCATAGACAATGGACTTATCATACACATCATCATACAGAAAATAATGGAGTGATTAAAAATTAAACAAAGCAATAGAAACATCTGCTTACTAAATTCAGGAATGATAAGGAACTAAAGAGATGGTTTGCATGACTCATAAATCTGTCTGCAAAATGAAAATGGGCAATTCTTCCCCATCATCCATCCCTAGTTACATGGAGGAAGGCTGAATATACACAAGTTCATAAGATTGTCTCAATTCACTTTGCAGGAGATAGGCAGAAACTGTTCTTCCCAGCCTAGCCAGGGGGGAAGGAAGAACCCACCTGAACTTTCTGTGAGGAATTTGGACAATAATATTTGAGGTATTGTCATGGTGTCCTATTTAAACATTATTTTTTCTTTTGGACCTCATAAATCAAATACAGGTCCTGGCACTATAAAATCATATAAAATAGAAAAAAATAAAGTACAGAAGTAGTTTATTTAAGTTTCTGTACCATTCCCCCATTTTCTCCCACAATATCATGTACACAAAAAAATTACCCAATGATATCCCTTTATTTCCATGCATATTAATTGTAAATACACTTTATTTTGGGTACATGGGGGTAAAAATACACTATGTGCTTGTGGTTTCTGAAATCATCTACCAGCTCATAACTCATTTGGGCATATGTTTTTTCCTCAGCAATTCAATATATCACTTAGACATTTAGTTTTATTTGGTTTTAAAGTTAGCGTTTGCTACATAACATACCATTCCAAAACCTAAAATATCAATCGTTATTTAATTCATGGTGTTGAGGGTGGACAATCGGCTGGGATAAACTGGTAGTTCTGCCTTTTTTAGCCAGATGTGTGGAACCACATTAAGTTTCAAAAGTATGCTAGTACTCTTACTGATGTGTTATGAATAAAAGTCTTAATTTTAATAAAATCCAGGTTATTTTCTTTATGGATAAGACCATTTTTTGGTCCTATTTAAGACATTTTAGCCCATGCTCAAGTTAAAAAGTTATTACACTATATGTTTAAAACATTCTATACTTTGATTTTCACATTGATATCTGCAATTTACTTAGTTTTATTTTTGTGTATGACATGAGGTTGAGATTGAAACTTATTTTTTCTATTAAGGTAAGACAAGGTAATTTAAATACTGTGAAGCAATATGTCTATGAATGGAAAGAGTTAATCATGAAATTGATCTATTATTCAGTTCAATTCCAATCAAATTTCCAGTAGAATTTGTAGATGTGTTTTCATTTGTTTATGTGTATGTGAATAAATGTATATGTGAGTGGTAAATACCAAGTTGATTATAAAATTATGTAAACATACTGAATTCCAAGAATATCCAAAAATAGGTAAATCAATCAAAAATGAGATGAAGAAAACAAAAAGAACATACTCTGACATATGAAAAGTTAACAGATCTTTAATGGTAAAGACAAAAAGGCAATCTATAGATTTATTTTTCAATTTATTTTTGAGACAAATATTCTAAATAGTTGTTTTCTTGAATTTTACTCTTATGTTTTTATCTTAATTTTAATATTAGTAATTTCTTTATCACTATCTTTTCAATTGAATGCACATTTAAATATAGTTTTTCTTGATATTCACCACAGTTACCCTAAAAACTTACACTCTGTTGCTTCATTCAATTACAAAAATATGAGGAAAATTAGAAAACTGTAACACATAAAAGGCAGAGTAAGAATTGTAATTTGTAAACTTTTAATAAGGATATATAATATAAATATACCTTTGGAAGTTTTCTTTGGTTAATATGAAAAGTTACAGGTAAATTTTTAAAAATTCATGTACATTTAAATTTTGAAAGAGAAAACTTTATCCCCTTCTCAAAAAGTTTAGAAGCAACGGTTTGAACAGCAGATAAGCCTAGTTGATGGTTATTTGATGTAGACCAAATTAAGTTTCTAAAGTTGTATATTATTTTACCAGTACATTTACACTTTATGTTCCTTTCTAACAATATCACCTCTATTATACCTGCCCTCGGCTTTCTTCTAATTTATCTTCTGATGCTACTTCCTTTGATTAAATATTTTTTGTTTATATAGATGCTTTTACAGTATTACCCTATTTTACTTGTCTCCAGCCATTTATAATTATTCTTCCCTTTAATCCCCATCACACCCTACCATACAAAATAGATTATTAATTTTACTCATATTTCACCTAAATAGGTATACACAGATTAAGGCATCACCAAATCATAAGATTGTATTGGTAGGTAGAGTGTGTTATTCTCTGTAACACTGTTTTATGGCTTACTTAAGGGTGTGGTAATTAATAGGTGGTCAATGCACCTTTGTATTTAGATACATTTTATCCTTTCAGTACTTAGCTGTTCAGTACTTAGGGTATTGTTCTTATAAGTTAACATTATCAATTTTTCATATTTGTTAATTGAGTAGAGCTCATGTCAAATGTTCTTACCACAAGAAACAAAAAGTTAATACCCTTCACCTCTTGTCTTTAGAAAACTTTTAATATAATTTTGAATTTTCATTTTATATTTCTTAAAGATTATATCATAAGAGTAATTTTGTTCTGTGACAAGAACCTATTCACAACCACATTATCGAAGGTACCCTAAAATTAATGATAATAAAGATAAATACTTAAACATTCCAAAATATAGAATAAAAGCCTATTATGATAGTTGTTTAAACAAAAACAAAGAAAAATAATAATTGATTCATAAGCAATAAATTTAATCTCAGAAATACTGTCAAATAATTCTTATTCTTGTCATTTGTTTTGAATGTGAAATATTTTTACTGCTATTGGGTTTATCTGACCTTCTAAAGTACCCTACAGCAAACATCGGCACCATTGTTATGTAAAGAATGTTGTGAAAGCAATAGACAGTAAATCATACATCTTTATAGTAGAATTTCATGGTTTCTCATTCTCAAAATAAACCTCTTTCTCTGCAATAAAATAATGCCATTTTATATCAGAAATACATGTACTTTTCAGAATTACTAAAATACATAACCCTGTCGAACAATGCAGTTTAGGTGTATGCTGATATATTTTCTGTTCCTGATCTCATGCTCTAGTACAATCTTTAAAAAGCACTTGTATTTTATTAATAAGTAATATAAGATTTGCTCTTATATATGCATGCGATTAGATTAAAATTAATGCAAATATATTGTGATCCTTGATAAAACATGAAGAGGAAATCATTGAAATATTTCTTGAGATAAATGATGTTCACTCAGTTATTATTTTATGTTTTCTTCTTTTCATTTGACTGAGAAAAAATTATTAGAAAACTTAATATCTACTGTTTCTTAAGAACAGAGTAAGAGAAGTGATATCAGCAAGATGAGGAGTAGGACGTGCCCAGCCCTTGTGCACCCAGAGAAACACAAACTTGGCAACCATTTTTGTAGAAGGATTCCTTTGTGGGAATTCAATGATTCAGATAAATGGTTGCCGCACCCCCAGTGGATCCCAAGACAGAAGAAAGTCACTTTGATAAGACAGGTCCGCATCCCTGATCAACATCCTGGCTGCAGACTGGGAAGCAACCCTATTCCTCTGTCTTCTCTGACTTAGCCCTCCCCAATCAAAGTCTCAATCTTCCATGCATCTGAGAGGAGCCACATCCATCTGTGCTTCCTGGGGACAGGCCTGCCTACAGTTGACCTGACAAAATAAAATCAGTGGTGGCAACAGTTTGGGGAAAGGAGGCTCTTGTACGCTGTTTTGTAGAAATGTAAATTGATACAGCCCTATAGAAAACAATATGGAATTTCCTCAAGAAATTAAAAATAGAACCACCTGTGATTCAGCAATCTCATTTCTGAGTATATGGCAAAAGAAAATAAAATCAGTATCTTGAAGAGATATCTGTGTTTCCTTGTTCATTGCAGTATTATTCACAATAGCCAAGATATGGACACAACCTAAATGTTTATCTACAGATGAACAAATAGGATATGAGATATACATTTATATCGAATATTATTCAACCTTAAAAAAGAAGGCAGCTTGGTGTGGTGGCATGCAACTCTAGTACCAGCTAATCAGGAGGTGGAGGCAGAAGGATCAGGAGCCCAGGAGTTAGAGGAGGCTACAATGAGCTATGATTGCTCTTCTCCACTCTAGCCTGGATGACACAGTGAGAGCCCAACTCTCAAAAAATAAAAGGAAATGTTGCCATTTGAGGTAATATAGATGAACCCATAGTATAGTATGTTAATTGAAATAAGCCACCAGGCATATAAATGCAAACACTACATGTTCTCACCTATATATGAAATGTAAACAAGTTGAACTCATAAAAGTAAAGACTAGAATGGTGGTTGCCACGGGCTGTAGGGAGGGAGAAATGGGAAAATGTTGGTCAAGGGGTATAAAATTTCCATTATGTAAGGTGAATAAGTCCTAGAAATCTAATTTACAGCAATGTGACTATAGTTAGCAATACTATATTGTATACTTGAAATTTGATAGGCGGGTAGACCTTGAGTGTTCTCACCACACACAAAAAAAGTTAAATATGTGAGGTGATGGATATGTAAATTGGTTTGGTTGCTGCACTTATTTTATACATATTATTGTATGTGTACATCAAAACATCAAGTTAAACATCTTAAATATATGCCAATTTTATCAATTTTACCTCAGTAAAGATGGAAAACATTTTTAAAAGTACTGACCAACATCAAGAGGAGTACTGGCTAGTCTGTTCAGTGACTGACATAATCATTTTAATTTTTGGTTCTGCGGAACTGGTGCTGAGTTGGAATAGCTACAGTAGCCTAGTTGGGCACCACCAGGTTTATGTTTAGCTGAGACATCAGTGAATCAGGCCCAGGAATTTCAGGGATTTTATGACTTGAGTGCCCCATTAAGCCAGGAAACTTTTCATCTGGGGCAGAGTGGGAGATGAAGTTTTTTTTAAAGGAGTATCTGTCACTTTTTTATTTAAAGCTAGTGCCCTTTTTGATGTGTTCCTAAATCTATCATTTGCATTTAACAAGCAAAGCTTTTTAGGCTTTTCCTACCCTGTTAGTCATAGAATCTGAGGTGACAAAAAATTAAATGTGAATATAAAACCTGAAATTCTTAATGCCTCCATTTAATCTTGACCAGAGCCTATGAAAACCTAATAGATGCTTCTCAAAAAAAAAAAATAATAATTTAATAGTAATGAACCTGAGATCCATGTCAGGGAGGCAAGGAGTCCAAAATCTCAAAGGGCACCTCTGTAAGTTGGCTACCTCTCTTTCTCGGGAGCTCCAATCAACATCAACAGAACCATCAGTCACAGAGATGTGTGCTCTCTCCAATATCCAATGAACCCAATAATATTGTGTGGCCTTTTTCCAGTGAAGGTCAGAGAGATAGCAGTTTTTATTTGATTGCTGTAAGCAGTGAGTTGTGACTCTGCTCATATAGTCCCAAGGAACTTTACTTTGCAAGCAGAAGCAAGCCTCCCAATTTTATCAGGATTTATCAGGCAACCCTGCTGAAAGAGTTGTGATAATACTAATCAGGACAATGGGCACTGAGGATTCTGACTTGCCAAATACAGAACACTATAAAGTGAGAACGTTGGACAGTGGGTAGAGGCATTCATGTTAAAGTATTACCTGCATACCAGCAGAAAATGAATGGGAAGGTTGACCCACTAGCATGTCTTTACCTGCAGCTCTTCCTCTACAATGATGTTTCCCCCTGGAAGTTTTGGTATAGGAATGTACAAACTTATACCACATCAACTCCTATTATATATTCACATATAAAACCAACAAAATCAGTATATTTAATTAGCCTGTGGGGCCTCACCTACAAAGTCACACTATATTACCTCACCACCTGCCAACCCTGGCCACAATCCATCATGAAACCTCTGCCCACAGGATGGGATTGGATGGTGACTTTGATGCCTATATCTAATAGGGCCATAAAATTTTGTAGTCTCCTAACCCCAGTTCCCCAGCATACCCAGCCAAGCGCAATGGTGTTCAACCTTCACTGGAACTGGGAGACCTCATCTTCACCCCTAGTTATTATTTTTTCTTTTTTTGCCTTGTATACTAATTTTATTTTATTTTTATTTTTTCTTTATTTCTTCTTAAAAAATAAAAAATGGGATGCATATGCAGGTTTGTTACAGAGGTATACATGTGCCGTGGTGATTTGCTGCACCTATTGACCCATCTTCTAAGTTCCCTCCCCTCACCCTACCCCCCAGTAGGCCCTGTGAATTCAGATTCACAGCTGAATTCTACCAGAAATACAAAGAGGAGCCAGAACCATTCCTTCTGAAACTATTCCATACAATTGAAAAGGAGGGACTCCTCCTTAACTCATTTTATGAAGCCAGCATCATACTGATATACCAAAACTGGGAAGAGACGCAACAAAAAAAAAGAAAACTTCAGGCCAATATCCCTGATGAACATCGATGTGAAAATCCTTAAAAAAATACTGGGAAACCGAATCCAGCAGCACATCAAAAAACTTACCCACCACAATTAAGTTGGCTTCATCCCTGGGATGCAAGACTGGTTCAACAAATGCAAATCAACAAATGTAATCCATCACATAAACAGAACCAAACACAAAACCACATGATTATCTCAATAGATGCAGAAAAGGCCTTTTATAAAATTCAACATTGCTTCATGTTAAAAATTCTCAATAAATTAGGTATCGATGGAACATATCTCAAAATAATAAGAGCAATTAATGCAAACTCACAGCCAATATCATATTGATTTTTTTTTTTCTTAAGGCAAGTGTGATCAGGGTACAGGGCAAGAGAGGGATCACAGGGCATGGAGAGAGACAGCAATTCTACAACACTAAGCAAAGCACATTTACTTCTATTTTCAAAAACTTTGTGACAGATGCTCACAGTTCCCCAAAATAGATTTTCAATTTGATGCACCTAAAGTTCTGTGTTTACTTTGGGTATCTCTTCACTTAGCAGCAGCAGACACATTGCCTTTTGGGTGGGTTTGCTGCCCCATGATAACATTCCATCTTCCCCCCCACCCAAAGGGCAATGTACAAAAACCAAACTATGTTCAAGTAACTTATTTCAATTATCCCTATTGACACAGCCTCTAAACATTCATTAACAGATAGTCCCTCATCAGTGGGAGCCCTTACTCTCCCCCATCACCCACCATATGTAAAGCATTTGCTATCAGATCCCAGTGAATTTTCTTAAATGCCCTAACTGGCCTGTGGGGAGCACTTGTGCTTTTCTTTGGAAGCCATACCTCTGTTAGCATCCCATCCTCATCACTACAAAGTGTCGAGAACTGTGATAGGTTCAAGGTTTTACCCTACTGTCATGACAACCTTTGGCCATCTCGTCTTCCTAGGTGGTGGAAGAAGATAAGAGACTCCTGTGTCAGAGGCAAAAGACATGATTACTCAGGGCACAAGTAGCATGGTTTCTCTTGCTCGCCAATTCCTATAGGGGTGATGCAGCGGTAGACCCAGGCAAATGCTGTGTAATAGTTGAGGAACCTCAAACTTCAGTAACCCCAATCTTTTATGAGGGATTGGGAGCTCCATCTTTGTCCTGAAAGGAGACCTTGTCTCTTTTATACTAGACATCAAACAAATCAGACTTCTGCCTTGGAGTCGTCATATGTCTAACCTCCCTGGCTATTTTCCATGAAAACATCATTGGAAAGACCAAGAGCTTCAGTTCCCCTGCTTGTGAGACTTGAAATGTTACAGATCAGGGAGGATTATCTTAAAACAAAAGCCTCCTTACACAAGGACATGCCCTTGGCAAAGCAACACCTCAAGGTATTCAGCAATGGAATAAAAGATCTATTTTGACTGATCATGTGAAAAACTCTGAGAGGCCATATATGTTTCAGAGATTCCTGTGGGGTTGGCCTAGGCCTTACCTGGCCTGCATCACAGTTCAACCTTTTTTTTTTTTTTTTTTTTTTTGCTTACTTATGCTCCTCCTTTTCTCTTTTCAAATGTCAATTTTAATAAATACATAACACCGCAGTCCTTACTCAATGCCTGCTTTTAAAGATTTCATCCTGTGGCCAAAAAATAGTTCTTTCTTTTTTTTTTTTTCTTTTTGACAGGGTCTCTCTCTGTCACCCAGGCTCGAGTGCAGTGGTGCAGTGACAACTCACTGCAGCCTTGACCTCCTTAGCTCAGGTGATCCTACCACCTCAGCCTCCAGTGCAGCTGGGACTGTAGGGGACATGCCATCACACCTACCTATTTTTTTGTATTTATTATTATTATTTTTTTAGAGATGGCATTTCACCATGTTGTTCAGGTTTGTTTCCAACTCTTGAGCTTAAGTGATCTGCCCACCTCAGCCTCTCAAAGTACAAAATGTTTCTGTTCTCATCGGTGCCACTCGTTGTTGCTGAAGGCCTTTGAGTCCAGGTGCTTTGCTCTATTAACTGTGTTATCACTCTGCCTTCCACTTTCCATTTTTCAGACTTCTACTGTATCATATTTCTTCTTTTCTCTCCAGGTAACTATATTTTTCACCCCTTGTTGGCATTTTTTGTTATTTAATTGAAGAGACAGACAAAAGCACATACAGTGACCTGCCATGTTTAATTTTAATGTAATTTTTTTAAGTCTTCCTCACTTTTCTATGTTGTTTCATAGAAAGCCTCTTTTAGAGGCTTTCTCCAAATAGGTTAGAAGTAAAATAGGTATACAAAATTTGTCATCTTCAACAATAAATATCTTTCAAGGCTATTTTTTTCTCATATTTTGTGGGGGTTTTCTCCACATATACTACAAAATAACTGCATTGATTTTATACATATATATACTATATATATATATTATGTATATATATATATTATATATATATATATTATGTATATATATATAATATATATATATATATTTCCCTATTTGTCCGTTTTATTTTGTTCTCTGTTCCCTCTTTGTGCTAACAGATTTTGATTCCTAGGGTCATGCTTGTCATGAAGAAAAACAAGCCTGCGTCCAGGGGAATTTAGCCTTTCTACACCTCCTGCTGTGACTGCCTCCATGGCTTTCTGCTTTAGGTTGCTTGAGATGCACACACAGCAAGCACCACTAACCTGAAACCGCTCATCTACAGAAATGCAGCAAAACTGCTTTACAAATAGCTTTTCCCTTTAAAACAAATACATCTAATTTTCTTTTTTGGCTTTACATTTCAAAATGTATGTTAGTATATAATTGATACACTCCTTGAATTTTTACGTTAAAAACCATTTATAGATAACATTAAAATCAAACTGAAATATATCATTTTAAAAGTTGCAATTTATTAATGATTTTTAAATTTTATATACTTTTAATTCTAAACTGTAGTTCATACTTACAGTATATTATCATATATATAATAAGACATGTTATAATGATGTATCAATAAAAAATTGAAAGTGATAGCATTTATGTGATTAAAATGCTTGCCCAGATATCTTAGATTCACCTGGTAATCTCTCCATGGCAATCCTTATGTGTTTATCTTTATTTTTGCCCAGTATGTATCAGGAATTATCTAATTGTTCATGCTAAATTGCTTTCGACTTTCTACTGCAAATTGATTTTTGGCAAGAAAACAAAATGCTAAATTAAGATGAGCAGCATCAACTTTGTATTGAAATATGTTACAGTTAGAATTTTATTCAATTCTTAAATTGATTCTTCACCATGGATTGAAATTATACTCTCACCTTTAATATCTGTTCAATAATAGCTTTTTAAAAAAATCTGCTTAGGCTTACTGTTTTGTGGGTGGTAAGCAGAGGTTTGTTTGTGCTGGTGCCCGAAGTACAAGAAGGATTACTAATCATATTGAAAGAAAACAAGAAATAATGTCTTACTTAAGTATTTTAGCTCTGACTATATAGCACAGATCTCCAAGCATTCCTGAGAAATCACCAACAAAACAAAATTACTAAGAGCAAAGATACTATGACTTGTCTGACTCATTCTCATTTGGCTCCAAGATTTATAATCAGAATATACAGTCGGAAATTATGTATTGATTAACTCTAATTTTATTGTCGGTGGTTACAATAAACAAATTGATTATCTTCATTTAAATAGATAAAAAATTAATAATATCTTCTAAATTTAATGCCACAAAAATTATGACATTATTTTATTTACACCTGTGATCACAGTGACTACTACAAAAGCTCATCTTACCTTTATCTATTAACTTGAGTTCTAAGTAGGTCACTCTGCCAAAGGATAGTAAAATTACCATGTTCCTCTGAGTACAGTGATGGATTTGGAAAATCAAGTAGTAAATTAGAGTCTCAGGATAATTCCAAAGAGAGAATTTTGCACAAACAATCATCAGCATTTAGGTTCAACAAAGAACAATGTGAGAGTCTAAAGAAAGTTTAAATGTCAGAATGACGGGTAAGTTCCCTAGACACCTACACCGTTCTTATTTTTAGCAGTTCTACAAGATCAATCTTGCTAAGATTAGGTTTCTGCTTCAGGCAGTTTTCTTTCCCTGAATTAGCAAGATATTCTAGATCCTTTTAAAATATATTTTAGTATTTCATTCTTAGTGTAGTTTCTTTTGTAATGTAAACTGGGCCTTAATAATATGTTTATTAATTAATAATCAGGAAGAATTTCTAGGATGTATTTAGTTATTATATAATTTTATTGACATTTGGTCTTCATTATGGAACTCTGCATCTTGGGTCTTATAGTATATGTTCTTTTCCATTGCTATTCACATAATTGGAGAAAAAAATAAAGGGAAACAACAAGTAAATCCCACCCTTGGTAAATCATCTAGCTACCCATTTCTATCTGCTTACTTCCTTTCATACAATCCCATTCACTAAAAAAAATTCTTACAATATTAGAATTTATCTCCAAAATCTGACAGCAATATGTAGACAAGCAAATTTAATAAACTCTTGAATTAAGAAAAAATAACTTAGAGTTTGAATTGGATTCAGGTGTCTCCACTGAGAAATTCAGATGACCTAAAGCCTGGGGATGAAACTGTAGTAACTTTTAACCTCTGCAGACAGAAGTTTTGTGGTTGAGCTCACAGCAGAGGAATATTTATTCTCTTCTGTTCTCCTTAGCCAAGTCTTCCAGATGGTGAGTATATCTTGTTCAGAGGTCAAGGACATTCATTTCTCTTTTTTCTTTTTTTGTTAAAATTTTCTCTAAAAATGAATCAAAAACAGGATACATGTGCAGAACGTGCATGTATTTACATAGGTATGCATGTTCCAGGGTGGTTTGCTGCACCTACTGACCCATCCTCTATGCCTCCCCTGAGCCCCCAACCCCTACCACGCCCTGGTATGTGCTGTTCACCTCTCTGTGTCCATGTGTTCTTAATGTTCAGCTCCCACTTATGAGTGAGAACACTCAGTGTTTGGTTTTCTGTTCCTGTGTTACTTTTCTGAGGATGATGGCTTCCAGCTTCATCCATGTCCCAGCAAAAGACATGATCTCATTCCTTTTTATGGCTGCATAGTATTCCATGGTTTATATGTACCACATCTTCTTTATCCAGTCTATGATTGATGGGCATTGGGGTTGATTCCATGTCTTCGTTATTGTAAATAGTATGGTAATAAACATATGTGTGCATGTGTCTTTATAGTAGAATGATTTATGTTCCTTTGTTTATATACTCAGCAATGGGATTGCTGGGTCATACTGTATTTCTGGTTCTAGATTCTTGAGGAATCACCATACTGTCTTGCACAATAGTTAACTAATTTACATTCCCACCAACAGTGAAAAAGTGTTGCTATTTCTCCACAGCCTCGTCAGCATCTATTATTCCTTGACTTTTTAATAATCACCATTCTGACTGGTGTGAGATGGTATTTCACTGTGGTTTTCATTTGCATTTCTCTGATAATCAGTGATGTTGCGCTTTTTTTCCTATGTTTTTTGGCCCACATAAATGTCTTCTTTTGAGAAGGATCTGTTCATACCCTTTGCCCACTTTTTGATGTTTTTTTTTTCTTGTAAATATGTTTAAGTTCCTTGTAAATTCTGGACGTTAGACCTTTGTCAGATTGGTGGATTGCAAAAATTTTCTCCCATTCTCTAGGTTGCATGTTCACTCTGATGATAGTTTCCTTTGCTGTGCAGAAGCTCTTTAGTTTAATTAGATCTCATTTGTCAATTTTGGCTTTTGTTACAATTGCTATTGGTGTTTTTATCATGAAGTCTTTGCCCATACCTATGTCCTGAATGGTATTTCCTAGGTTTTCTTGTAGGGTTTTTATAGTTTGGGGTTTTAAATTTAAGTTTTTAATCCATCTTGAGTTAATTTTTGGACATGCTTTTATTTTCCTAAACTTTGCATTGAAACTCCTTCATATTTTATGATGTGCCTAAACTATAGTTCCCTCTATCTTTGTTTACAAGCAGGGTCTCTCTTCATTGTCAAATTCTCTGCCTTGCCTTGCTTTTCTTTTCTTTCCTTCTTTCTTTTTCTTTCCTTCCTTCCTTTCTTTCTTTTTCTTTCTTTCTCTCTTTCTTTCTTCCTTTCTTCCTTTCTCTTTCTTTCTCTTCCTTCCTTTCTTTTTCTTTCTTTTCTTTCTTTCGTCCTTTCTCTTTCTTTCTTTCCCTTCCTTCCTTTTTCTTTCTTTATTTTCTTTCTTTCGTCCTTTCTTTCTTTCTTTCCCTTCCTTCCTTTCTTTTCTTTCTTTCTTTTCTTTTCTTTCTTTCTTTCTTTCTTTCTTTCTTTCTTTCTTTCTTTTCTTTCTTTATTTCCTTCCTTCCTTCCTTCCCTTTCTTTCTTGCTTTCTCTCTCTCTTGCTTGCTTGCTTGCTTGCTTGCCTCCTTCCTTCCTCCCCTCCCATCCCCTTCCGTCCCTTCCCCTCCATTCCTTTATTGCATTGGAGTGCAATGGCACTATCTCAGCTCACTGCAACCTCCACCTCCTGGGTTCAAGCAATTCTCCTGTCTCAGCCTCCAGAGTAAATTGGACTAGAGGCATGCACCCCTATGCCTGGCTATTTTTTTTTCTTTTTTTGTATTTTTAGTAGAAAGGGGGTTTCACCATATTGGCCAGGCTGGTGTTGAACTCCTAACGTCAGGTGACCTGCCTACCTCAACCTCCCAAAGTGCTGGGATTATAGTCATGGCTTTTCTTACCCACTGCTCTGCCTCTCAGTGCTTTTCTGATCTCTGTGCTGCCACTGTCCTTCCATACTTTTCCTTACTGATGAATGAAAGCAATGCAATTAGCCTGAGAGAAAAATAACTCAAAAAATGAGAAAGGTACAATTTAACGTGATGTATATTATTTAATTAAATGCATTATATTATTTCTCTGCTGTATTATATGATATTGCTTGTTGCTCTGAGATATCAAATCCCTGAAGGCAGGAATTATTCCATTTATTAATCTCTGCATAATTTATTTTGACTCTATAGGTGGTACATACCTAAAGAGCCTAATTTGGTAGTGACATCAATGAATAATACTGATTATTTTATTAATAATGTTATTATTGGCATTACCTATTCTGATATTATTAACATCATATTGAAACTGATGATATGAAGACCAGGAAAATTAAATTTCCTGGGACATTCTTGAGCAAATAAATAATACAAAAAATGACACACCAAAAGAAGATAGGTTATGAGTCAAAGTGAGATATTACTGAAACATAAACTGTTAGTCTAAAATTATTTAAAAATAAAAAAGTATTTTTATTCTCTATTATATGTAATTAGTTTGACACACAAGATTGGTTAAGATGTAAATGATAAGGTATTTTAGGAAAAAAGAGACAAGTCTTTATGTAACTCTTTCTAAAAGTAGATGTCCCTGGAGGGCAAATAGCTTAGCAAGGATTGCCAGTATGATCTTGGGATACCATTTTATACCTATTTCAGATGCTCTACATGCTGTGCTCATTGTTACAAACTTATAATCATGAAATGAGAAGATGCAATATTTTTCCTTACAAAACTTATAGTTATACTAACATCAAAACAGAATAAATTCAATAGACTTTAAGGAAAATCTGAGAGGAAATAATAGAAAATAAGTAGTCATAAAATATTTTTAGCAGTTACTGTAAACCTATACCATTAGAAATGCAAAGTTACTAAAATCTGAAATGTCACAATGTAACAGAAGAAAACACTGTTTTATTTGGAATGTATAACTATTTTGAAATGCCAAGGAAAAAAAAAAAGAAAACACGTAGAGCTTCTATAAGTAATGTAACCTTAAACACACTTTCTTGGAGGAAGTAAGGATTTGAAAATTTTGTTTCCAAGCTTCTTAAAACTGATAATTAAAACTTTAGTACTGGAAAAATATTAAAATACAAGATAACATGATCAAAAATGTGTTACATAGAAAGATTTTTTTAAATCTAAATTTCCCTTTTTTAAGAATAAGTGAATATTGGTTGCTTACGTCCATAAAATTGTGAAACATTTACATGATTTGGCATTCAATTATTCAATATAGAGAACAAAAAAAGTTCATATCTGAAGCAAACTTAATGGGCTTTTGTAAATATTTTAAAAGTTAAAAATGTGAACATTCTAGTGTTAGCATGTTAACACACTAATTAATTATTTAATATAGGTAACAAGTATATGGAAAACTAGATTAGTATAATAAATTAGTAATTATATTATAAAAATAGGTCATCTTTTAAAACTATTATAATATTCACTAATTATATTCATATGAATATATTTTATAATATTCTATCACTAATTGTATTGTCATTGTCTACCAAAGTGAATTAATATTATTATTCATGTTAATATTAGTATTTGTATTATTAGTCATTAATTCATCTTTCAGTAACATTCATGTTGTTGACAATTTATATTTCAATATTGTCTAATTTTCTCGTGAAACTTTATCTTTTTACCTGATGGATAACTAAATATGTAGATATATAAATATATACAGAAAAAAATGACGCAAAGAATACTAGGTGACTTACTAGTGATGATTCACAATATGAAAGATTTTATGCTTCAATTTAATTTCATATATACTAGAAAAGTACATTCATTTTGTTCAACAGTGTACAGAAAACTATGATGCATGTTTGAATATTTAAATAAACAGTTTTATTCAAACACATTAGAAACCAGCTGAAAAGAACATATAAGCAAATGAAATGGATAATGGCCTATTTAGCATCTGAAGTGAGCAGCGAGCTTTCATAGCAGAAGAAACCAAGGGAAGTACCTTTGGTTGAAAACTCCTTTTTGGTTACTGCCATCTAGAGGGCTTTAGCAGATAGTTGTAGTGGCTTCCGGGACATTCCAAATTCCAATTCCTTCTCTAAGTTTCTACTAATACCTCAGCCTTGTGATTTTGGTGTGATAATTCCTAGGTCAGTTGCATTGGGTTCCACACAGCCATCCACCGGAACACAGAGTTAGGATCATTTATGGTTATTTATCTCACATCACAACAAGAAGTATAGATAGACGAAAGTTAATATGGAACACTCTGAGCTTTGGGGAATATAAAAATTGCATTTTATTCTAAATAAGATTACAGTTGCTTGCAGCCTCAATATTTGTAGCATTATCTGGTAAACAAGAGAGGAGAGCATGCCGCAAATAAAGTGAAAACTTCATAAGGAACATAGAAATTAATTTGAACTCTGAAGACTTTGTTGTACCTAAGTACAAAATAATTTCATAAAATAAAGTCATAAATCTCTCATAGTAATTAGTCTCTCAAAGTAATTTGATGGTACAAACAAGAAGTTGCATTGATTCCCTTTATGTAAAATGCACTCTGTCCCCTTTAATAATTTATACACTAAATAATAACCAAATAATACCATGAATGATAAAGTGAAAATAACAATTATTTTGAAACCAACAAAATACAATCCTCATGAAAAATTGAAAAACAATGGAGTCAGCTGGTTGTCTAAAAGACAATTAAGAGCCCTAAGAACTAGAAATACACAACAATATGAAAGTATCCTCTATTGATATGTAATAAGATTACTGAGATAAATGAAAAGAAAATATTATGAAGAATAGGAAAAAGGAGAAGCAACCTAGCTCTAGAAAATAACTAGAAAAATCAGTTAGCAAAAGACAATGGTGAAAAATATTAATGACATTAAACTTAGATAGCTAAAAATCAGCCAAAAAGAGGTTAAGATACACGTAGGGAAGAATGAGAAGCTCTAACTCATCTGATAGTAGTTCAAAAAGGAGTGAATTGATAGAATGGGAAAGGAATGGTTTGACCTATTGGACCTGGCAATATATATAATCCATCAGATTTCAGAAGCAAACCAAGTCCCAGACTTATTTCTAGATTAATTTAAACCATAAAAATGTATCATAATAAAAATTATGCATATTTTAGAGAGATAGCCTCTCAAGAACTATAAAATTCAATCAAGACACCTTGGTAGAGATAAAAGAGACATACAAATTGCTTCTGCTTGCTTTTCTGTAGGCTCTTGACATTTTAGCAGATGAATCACTCACTTATAAAATGTGTAATATTCCAGGACTTTATTTTATCATCTAATTTTGCATCATTTCTTAAGAAACATAATAGAACTATAAGACGAGATATACTAAGAACTCATAGTTATTGATTAATAATGAACTGGCAAAGTGCAAATCAATACCACCATGAATTCAGTACAGATTATATTCTCATTGACTAAATAATACATTTTAGCTTTCTATATTCATTGGACTGTTCAGAGCATGTGGTAAAGCTCTTAAAACCAAAAAGTCTCACATGTATTATTCGACTTCTTAATTAAGGGAGACATACAGGAGATAATTTAGCATCAAGGATAAAAGGGAAAAGAATTACAGGTACAAATACTATTTGTTTACATGCTAATTTTGAAACTAGAATTACTTGGCTTCACTGATGTTTTCAGTCTCTCTAATATTTCTGTCTTCTTTCTTTTATTTGGAAATTTTAATGTATTTATTTATTTTGAGGCCAGGTTATGAGACTGGCTAGTTTTTATATTTTTGGCAGACAGGATTTCACCATGTTGCCAAGGCTGGTCTGGAACTCCTGGACTCACCCTCCTGGGCTTCCTAAAATGCTGGGATTACAGGAGTGAACCACTGCACTCCACCTTTGTATTCTCTTTCAATCAAACCTGCACATTATCTGTTTACTATGGCTGTGTAGCAAACTACCTGTATGCAGTGATTGCAGGCTTCATTTTTTTCCCCTTTTGAAAGGAATTGTGTGAAAGACAACAGGAGCAAAGACATTAGTGGCTAGACTGCCACATTATGGTAAAGACACTAACTACTAATTTCCATTTCCCAGTATTGCTGTGGGCGGCAATAAGCTGGGGCCAGTAACACCGGTGGTGAAAAGAATTTACCAAGACCATTGTAGGTAAAAAAAAGGCAGATTTATTAGATAAAGTAGGAAAATATGTTACAGAAAAGCAATAGGAAGATCAGCAAGAGAGGTGCTGACTGCAAACAGAAAAAGGCTTGCTGGGGATTTTATACGACAGTGCTTGTGCTGGAGAGGGCTATGTGTAGTACTGATAATGCCAAGGTTGCAGTGAGCTAACTTGAAATTTTCTATCAGCGGAGGATCTGTTGCAAGTCGAGTGCAGGAAGATTGTGAGTTATTTGCGCAGGAGGGCTATGTGCCCTGGAACATGAAGAAAGGCAGACTTAAAACAGCTTATCTGCTCTTTCTTTTTGCTTTCCTCTGCTCCTGCCAGCCTGACTCCTTTTCCCTTATTAGGGCTCCACAAGTATCTCTTGCAGTTATGTTGAAGCCAGAAGGACTTATCTGGCTAGTGAATGGTGAGTATGTCACTTCAGGTTGAGACTCTTAACCACCAGTATGCTTGGCCTTTATCTCCTCTCCCCTTGCAATGCCTATGGTGGCCATGTGTGGAGATGGTGGAGCCATAATTGTAAAACATGTTGGAATAACAGTTACTCAATAGGATAAAGATGTCCCATGTAGTTACCAGATCTAAATCAGTTTTCTTTAATGAGAAATATACTTTGGTTTAGTTATGTTACTGAGATCTTAGTATTTGCCATTAAAGTAGTTAACATTAACTATCTTCACTGCAAGCTTTTACATAGTGAAATCTTCAAAAAGTCCCAAATTTATCCACATTTATAAATAATACATGCAATTTTGTAAGCTCACAAAAGCATTATCTTTGTAAAACCTGCATATTATTTCTAAAGTTTTACATACATCCCTAAAGTTGCTGCATTTACAACCATCCTGAAACTCAAAATATTTTCTCTTACATTTGGAAAGAATGTAAAAAAATGCTAAAAAATATTTACTTTATCTTTTAAATGTTTTATTAAACAATTTCTTACTTTATACACAAAAATAAATAATTGATAAATTGCTTAACAAATATCTCCCAGTTGGGCACTGTCACTTCACAAGTACCCTGGTTATGACATAGAATATTATTCAACAACTCTGACCTTCTTTGTTCTTCCTCTGTCACTATCAGCCTCCAAAAGTAGTAACTGTCCTGATGTCTTAACACTGAGATTAGCTTTACTTGTTTATATGCCATATATGTGTATATATGCCATATATACATAAATAAATGTACATAAATACATAAATATGGATATATGGCATTTACTTGTTTGTGTGACATATATGCTAATCTAAATATAGCATATATAGAGAGAGCTATATAGCATATAGAGACATATATATATAAAGCTAATGTTTACATATGGACAAAGAGTCCATACTTTATGATTACACACACATATATGTGTATATTATATATACACATATATGTATGTATGCATATATACACATATATGTATGCATATACACACATATATGTATGTATGCATATATACACATATATGTGTGTATGCATATATACACATATATGTGTGTATATTATATACACATATATGTATGTATATTATATACACACACATATGTATGCATGCATATATACACATATACACACATATATGTATGTATGCATATATACACATATACCCACTTACCTACAGGTGTATATGTGTGTGTGTGATCAAAGAGTCCATATGTGTGTGTAATCACAAAGAGTCCATATGTGTGTGTGTGTAATCATGAAGTATAAGTTCTTTGTGTTTTGTTTTGTTTCTCCACATATTGAGAAATGTGTTTGTATTTTTCTATACAATTATAGTTAGTTCAATTTCTAGATTTTACTTGTTTCATAACTGTTTGTAGATTTCGTCATAGGCTCTGGGCTGAAACTAAAGAATATGTGCAGTAAGGTGGAAAGTCCAATTATTTTGCTTTCATAATGATTCAAAATAATGCTTTAGAATATTTGACATAAACTGGAATAAAACTTCAAATCCCCCTTGAAGGAATTTATTTTTAAGATCTTTCTCTAAGAAATCAAAAATATATCCATATCAGGTGACTCATTACAGTGTTGTTTTGTAATTGCAAAAGATTGGAAGCAACTAAACTCTAATACATAGAAGATTGCTGGAAAAAAGGTTATATTCACACGATGTTGTGCTATGAAACTGTTAAAAAAGAGAACAATTATATACATTATATATATATATATGTTTGTGTGTACATATATTATAATATGAATTGATGCAGAATGAAAACCCAAGGAGAAAAGCATATATCTTAAAATCTAAAGATATAAAAGAAATAATAATCTTGAACTTGACTTAGTAGGATTGTTTTTCACAGTGGTATCAGTGTAGCATTTACATAAAAGCTTTCTGTACATTGCAGAATGATGTTAGGGAAGAGTGGTACAACTATGAAATACAGGAAGGCTAGAAAGAGCTTGTGGGCTGTATTAGAGATGGGATTTTCAGTATAAACTCATGATTTTAAAACACACACACATACACATCAATATACATCTTTGTAATGTATGCAAACATACATACATGTGCTGTATATTTTGAACTCTATTTGCTGAATGGGCTTTGAAACAAGACTTCCAGTAGCATCAATAGCGATGAATATATCTAGACCCTGATTTTGATTTTAAATACCATTCCCTAATAAAAATGATGAAGGTACCTCAGAGAAGGACAGCTGATCTCAGGCAGAGATTACAGGCAACAGAAGCACAAGCTGCAACTGCGACATCCTGTTGTGCTAGAAAGTAAGGGAGTGTTCAAAGTATTATGGGGTCATGTAAATTAACACATGAGCTGTATTGAAGGGGTCCCTACCTAGCCAAATCTAGAAAAACTCGAACATTAAAAAAAAGGTGGCAGTTTGGGATTACAACTCACTCTATAAAAAGGAAACCCATGAGTCCATACAGATAATAAATAAGAATAAATAATAGATATATGATAGCTAGATAGATACGTAAATGCATAGATAACAGAGAAAGGTCAGCTCCCCGTTACAGAAGAATATCAACTAACTATTTTTTTCTTTTTTCTTTTTTTTTTTTTTGAGACGGTGTTTTGCTCTTTTTGCCCAGGCTGTAGTGCAATGGTGGGATCCTGGCTCACCACAACCTCCGCCTCCCGGGTTCAAGCGATTCTCTTGCCTCAGCCTCCTGAGTAGCTGGAATTACAGGTATGTGCCACCACGCCTGGCTAATTTTGTATTTTTAGTAAAGATGAGATTTCTCCATGTTGGTTAGGCTGGTCTCGAACTCCCGACCTCAGGTGATCCGCCTGCCTCGGCCTCTCAAAATGCTGGGATTACAGGCATGAGCCACCACGCCTGGCTCAATTAACTATTAAAACACTTAGAAATAATAAAGTTAAAAATCACATTTGAAACAGTGATAGTAATCATGGATTCATGCAAGCATTATTTACGGGTGTTAAAATTTGTGGATTAAACATTAATGAGGAGAATAATATTTACGTAGTTCCGAAGTACATGCTAAGTGTAGAGAGAGACAAAACAATTAAGAAAACATAAAAATGTACCAGTTAACTAATCTGGGTGAAAGTTGTAAATTTTGTGATAACTTTGCAAGTTTTCTTTAGGTTTGAAGTGATCTCAAAATAAAAATTTTTATAAAATCATTTTATGAACTTTGCCAGCATCAATTATAATTTGTATTAGAACCCAGGGTCTAAATATCGAGTGAGGTACAGAATAGAAAACAAAAAGATTTCTATCAAAGTGACATCAGGTGAACACAATCCAAATTGAAATAATAAATCAGGAATCGTGATGTGATTGCAAAAATATGCAGGAGCATGAGAAAAGAGTTTTCCATTTATACTCTGGGTGATGGGGTAGGACGGTTTCTAATAGATGTAGGCTATATTGATGACTTGCTTCTTGTGAACAGCAGTGATTTTCACATATTTGAATGATTAATATTCACATTAAAACTACAGGTTCAATAACACACTCTGTTAATTTTGTGCTTCACAAGATTTTAAATTTACTTTACGTCATAGTTTCTTAGTTTCTTTGAATTATTTTCTATTAATAGTAGTTTGTGTCATCAAATTTAATAAAATGGTTTAAGCAAAATATGTTCTTCCTGTGGAATATGTACATTCAAAAAGATTTATTAAAATTATATCTATCCTAAAATAAAATTCAGAATGTCATGTAAGTAATTATTTTACTGAAGTCTATAGTTTTACAGAAGCTTACTTGACTTTTTTTAAATTATATCATACTCAGAAGTGTTAGTTTTTATTTATCTTTGCAAATCCACTATTACACATATAAAGCAAATTATTTGCTACTTTCTCTTACAATTTTCAAAATCATAACCCCCTCCATTATAATTTATTATCTATTAAAATTCATATTGAATTTAAGTGCAGTAAAATCAACACAGTTATTTATACATAGTTATTTATATATTAGTATATTCTGGGTATTTCAACATTTAACATTTTCTTCTTTCCTTTTTATCTATTTTGAGTTGTCTAGAGGTAGGTGAGATATTCTTGTATATAATTTGTAATAATATTTTGAATTGCCTTATGTGGACCATGAAGTTGATAGGTGTATGCTAGGTA